>NC_000006.12:19756969-19908484 GCF_000001405.40 Homo sapiens | reverse complement strand
CTTTTTGGAATGTTTTACGAAGGCATTACTTGGAGATGTAAAAAAGAGAGAGAGAGAGCACCTAATAATAGCCTTTCAGTCGCAGAAAGAGAAAAGCAGCACAGACATGATAATTGAATTTGGTTTGGATGGTCAAAATCTGTGTGATCCTACAGCTGTATTTTCTAAACCATCTGCTTGACTTTTAATACATGTTCTACGTTTTGTTTCCTTTGCCCATTGCTGCATTTGAAAATGGCTAATTACCTTACAAGCCTGTTCCATTTTCCTTTGCTTCTATTTTTTTTTTCTTTCCCTCTTACAAATGAAGATGCTTGGCCTTCATTACTTCTCAGTCCTCAGATCTCTCACCTTATCCTCAAAGCAGGCCAACAGGGGATTTGGGTCAAAGTAAACCCTGAAATAGTTTTTGTGGAAAAAAAAATGAGAGAAAAATAAATAAGTCCAGCTTCATCTCCCAGGAACTGAGGTTGATGTCTGTTTGCCCTCTGCCCCACATAATTAAATCTGGTGCACAGGACAGGTAAACCAAAGGAATGGCAGAGTTTTCGTCTCATTTCAAGTTTAAATACTACTGGACTTCTGCAGCCTGGATTCCAAAGTTGTGTTATAATTTTACTTATAAATTCTGAGTCCTGATTATGTTTTTTATAAACATGTATGTCCCCAAGCCCTTTTTGAAGTCATCCAAGAGAAGAATCTCTATGTGTCCCATTAGAGGTTCATTTGACCTTGGATTGCTATAAAGAGAAGTGCCATGCCCTTGCTATAATTTAATAGTGCTCTCTAATGTTTATATTATGAGTTCTGGACATCTGGGAACTCCTAGGATGAGACTGGAATTGGAAAATTGGCCCCATACATGTGGATTTGCATAGACTTGCTATATTAAGAAAATAAAAAATCTATTTTAGTTGGACTCATAAAAATTAGTTGTTTGTCTTCTTTTCTCTGTGTTTTGACAGACCAGAATAGTAACTCTTAAAATTTACATAAAATGTTCATAAAGTATTTTTATATATTTTCTGTTATTTGAGCTACACAATTGCCATGTGAATTAAGGCACTAACTTTAGAATCCTGAGGCTTGGGTAGGTAAATTGAATTACTCAAGGAAAAAATGGCTAATAAGAGATAGAGCTGGAACAAAGAGCCATTCATACATTCATTCACTCATTCACACACAGTCACGCACCGCATAGCAAGGTTTGGTTCAAAAATGGACCGCCTACATGACAGTGGTCCCATAAGACTATGATGGAGCTGAAAAATTCCCATCACCAGCCTCCAGGGCCATGAGGATAAGTTTCTGTCATTTAAGTCACCCAGTCTACGATAATTTGTTATGATGAATACACTCACAGTGAGGAATGAGGATCATGATTCAGAGCGAGACTCTGAGACCTGACTTCATTTTGGGCAAAGCCTGGCCCACCATGATCTGTGGTGGGTACAGGGGAGTGGTATCTCTGAGGTTTTCAGCTTCTGTGACTGCTCCATTCCCACTATCACATCTTTCTGGGTCCTCCTAATTAACCACCTCCTTACAGGGAGCTTAGCTAAAGTTGGCATCTTTCTGTGCAGTGGGGTGGGGATAGGCCCCCTTCTCTGGGCTGGAGGGGAAGGCAGTTAATATCTACCTGGAAGCCCAGCAGAGCCTGGGGCCCACATTGAAAGCTGTCAGTACCCATCAGTGACCTAACAGAATTCTCACTATCTTCTTTTAATGGGTAGAATTTGGGACATCTTAAAAACAAATGACATTTAATCTATACACAATTTTTTAAAAGCCTTTATTTTCACTTTTTATATCTGAGTTCTCAACTATCTTGAGGGATATTCTCTTTAAGGGAATGCAGTGGCCTTTCTGGGCACACATAATTTCAAAAGAACAGCAGTTTCCTTTACTTTTATAAATTTGTTTTTCTTTAATTTTTATAAGTCCGAACAGTTTTTTGCACTTTCAGTCTTAAGGAGAATGCACAATAATGAATTGTATCTTTGTGGGAAGTTAAAGTCTGTAGCCAATTTCTTGCGGTCATTATTTGGAAAATTTCCTAGAATTTAGACAGTTTGATGATATTCTCATAGAGCCATGAAGCCAGTTTCAAACAGCTTTTAGCCCCATTAAATTGTTTTAAAGCATGTCAGTTCTCCTGTGTCTATCAGATACATGAAGGCCGGGGCTGGCATCTATCCTGTTCACTGTCCTGTGCTCTCTGCCCTAGGACTTATTCAATGTTTGTTGCATGAATAATAGAAATTGTTCAACACTCAATATCAAGCCAGTAAAATAAGACCATTTCCTCCTTAAACACGATGTCTTTGAGAAACTCTGGGAATCTTACATCTTCTAGATGGAGTTACTCTTGGAATCCTGGAAATGGCCGGAGAGACTGTCATACATTTTCAGAGAAGTAAGCTTGACCTCCACAAAGTGCATCAAACAAAACAAAATGAAACAAAGAAAACAATAGCAGAAATAAAAGGTGTCTCTGTAGCTCTTTGTCTGCAGAGATGCTTTGAGATCCAAAACAGTTTTTCTCCAGGAAAACAGCATCAAGGCCAAAGTCCTCCTTTTAAAGCCATAGAGGAAATGCATGATTGTCAGTAGGAGAGCAAAACTCTTTGGAGTGGGTTTAGAGGCAGTCGCAGACTGGGGAGTTTGAATTGACAAGTTTTCTTGAATTGAGTCATCCAAAGGTGACCTGTCTCATCTTGTAACATGAGACACTCCTGGTCTGTAAATGCAACCCTGATGAATTTCCACAAGGATCAGTGGAGAGTAGAGGATATATTCAGAATGAAATGAGGTAGTAAGTGGGTTAGTGGATGCAACACATTATTCTGATCTTCATAAGTAATATTCTGTTGATCTTATTTTTCTTATGAAAGGAACTTCACCTCTGCCCATCACCTCCTACTTCTAAGAGAGTTGTTTTGTCTGCTCTATAAATGAGGTCATGGTGTATGACGAAATAACCAATAATTCTTAAATACCTCTGGGATTTTCTATTAACTAGTTTTCCTATCTGGCAGGGACAGCTTCTGTGGGAAATCTCTTAAGTTTTATGGGAATTTATTTGGGATATTTTTATGTTTAATGATGATGTGGACAAACCCAGTATGTTCTCATGGTTTTTATTCTCAAGTAAAAGAAAAACGTAATCATTTGCAGTTTATCAGATATTCTCTTTGACTGAGACAAAATTTCATTTGATATTATAGTACCCAAGAGTATGCTTCATTTGTTAGCTAAGAACACATGCTCATTTGATTTATCATTTTCTGACAAGTAAAAAGCTATATGACCTTCTTCAGTGGATGACTGGGAAAACAAATTATGGCCCATTCAAACAAGGGAATACAATTCGACAATGAAAAGGAACAAACTATTGATTCACATAACAACATGGATGAATGTCAGATGCATTTTGCTAAGTAAAAGAAGCCAGGCCCAAAGGTGACATAATACACGATTCCATTTATATGACATTCTGTAAAGGCAAAACCAAAGGGATGAAAAACGGACCAATGGGTGCCAGGGACTGGGTCTGGGGAAGGATTTGACTATAAACAGGCAGCATGAGGGAATCTGGGGGGCAATGGAACTGTTCTTATTATGACTGTAGTTGTAGATAGCTCTAGGAATTTTTCAAAACCTGTAAAATTGTGCACCACAAAGAATGAATTTTACTGTATATGAATTAACAAAAAAAGCCTGTGTAAAATAAATCTAGAATTAAATTAAACATTATCAAGAAAGCAGGGAGCATTGTGTGTCAACCATTTGAACTAGTTGAAGCACACCAAGAAATACATAGACTAATGTGGTGTTTTCTGAACTGTGTTCTGTGGAACACAAAATTCCCTAATCTGTCACTAGGAGTCGCTCAAAGAGTATTCCAAATCATTCTTCAAGGCCGGGTGTGGTGGCTTACGCCTGTAATCCCAGCACTTAGGGAGGCTGAGGCGGGCAGATCACCTGAGGTCAGGAGTTCAAGACCAGCCTGGCCAACACGGTGAAACCCCGTATCTACTAAAAATACAAAAACTAGCTGGGCATGGTGGCAGGTGCTTGTAATCTCAGCTACTCGGGAGACTAAGGCAGGATAATCGCTTGAACCTGAGAGGCGGAGGTTGCAGTGAGCTGAGATCATGCAATTGCACTCCAGCCTGGGCAACAAGAGTGAAACTCACTCTCAAAAAGAAAAAAAAAAAAAAAAAAAAAGAATCATTCATCAACCAAAAGATTCTGTGTCAAATACATTTGGTAAATCTTGCATTCATAATCCTGTCCTTTTCTGGAGAGTCGTGGTATATATATTAAGATTGAGAGATGTCCTGCAGCAAAAAAAGAAAAGCAAACAAACATAAACAATAACAAAGGTTTAACTTTAATAGTCTTTGAACTTGTTTGAAACTGTTATTCATGGAACATCGATTAACATCTAATGGACAGGGTTTGAGAAATGCGAATCATAACAATAGGGTGACATTTTATCACAGAATCACAAAATCTTAGTACTGGAGAAAGCCTCAGGAGGTCATCTTGTCTTTGGGACAGACATACAACTTAGCCATCTTTTTATAGAACATAGTCTATTTTTTTAACATTCAGTTCCTAGTTTCAGCTGTTGGTGGGTTTTTTGGTAATACATTCCATGCTTAACAATTTTCTCCAGCACAGTACTCTTTCTTAGATTCCTCCTCTAATGTATACCTGTTTTCTCTCCCTCTCTCTTCCCTATGTGAAGCTTTAATGCAACTCATCACCATGGACTGCCGTACCATGAGCTTGTCTTAGAGAGTAGTGGATACCATGGGGGTGGCTCACAAAGAAACCTCTCAGCTCTGGCAACTGCACCTAAACTACAGTTGATGCTCAGCTGCCATGCCTGTATTGCATCCTTGTTCCTGCTCTTGGCCTCACAATTGATGCAGGGCTGACCAGCAGATTCTTCCAGGAGCAAGAGAGAAAAACCTGGGAATGGTAGACTTAAGTCACCATAACAGTAGGGTTTCAGAAAGAAGGCTTATAGATTCTGCCCTTCCTGGAACTTGTTTTGATTTGTTTGTTTGTCTCAGCTTTCTTTTGCATTCAGTGAGTTACCCCAGTATCTTTAAGTAAATTTCATTTATAGCTAAAGGCAGTTTCTGTTACTTGCATCCCAAAGAACCTTAACTACAATATCTTATCTGTCTTCCAGCAGTGTCTAGTGGCAAAATGGTACAAATCCTGGCCAAATTTTCCAGATTGCTGGAGAAGAGTACTAGGGATATGAGGATCCATTCCAATTTACCTGGAGATTAAGTACAAAATTGGACTCATGCTCTGTTCCTTCCCACTCACCCACATCAGGTCCTTATTCCCTGCACCTGGGGTCCTTCTGTGTTCCCTCTAGTTTCTAGGGGCCAGAGGGGGCTTTTCATTTAAGTCCGCCCTAGAAGAGCTTTCATTTTTACTTAGCTCTCCTAGAAGTAGAATGGTTTCATCTAATCATTTTTCCTTGTAATTCTTCTTTTCTAACTTTTTAGACATTTCCAACTTCTAAATTCTCTCCCAGGCCCTTCACACCACACTAAATAGTTAAAGAAGTGACTTAGTCATGTAGAGATGTGTATGGAATTCTCTGGTATGGAGACCAAGAAAGGCCTTAATTTTATTTCGACATCTGGATAGGTGCATTTAACTAAACTATGCATGTTGGAATGGTTCCAAAGCACCTGAGGGTAGTTGCAGTACCTTCGAGGTTTGCAGTAATGCAAAGATTTATATGCAGCATTTACCCCATGCTGCTTCAGAGTGTTATTCTTTTTCATCATTTGATTTATATACTTGCTCAAAGTTTTTCCAATTGTAGGTGCAGTCTCTGTGTCAGCCTCTGCACATAAGCAGCTCAGAGGACATAACTTGTCTTTCACGGTCCCGCAATGCCCAGCACAACGTCAGGTATAGGAACAGGGTTAAGGAACTATCTTCAAAATAGTCATTGTGTTTGCAAAGACTAAAACATAGCAGCCAAAACTATGGCAGGCGCTTGAGGCATTGCATTATCAAGCATCCTGGTGCTTCACAATCCTTAAAAGTAAAACAAACACACACTCATGTACACAAGCAAACCTCTTTAGATATGGCAATAGCTTTACAGGGAGACTTTAAAGAAATCTAAGTAATTTCAGTGCAAGTTTTTTAGCTCCTGCTGTGAGGCTCAGATATGCCCTGCTGTCTTTGGAGTGTTCCTTCTTCCTTCCACCCTAGCCAGGTGGACCACACTGATGTTTGGTGATAGTGCCAGGTCCTGGCACTGCATCCCCCTCTGTGCCTCTCCATCCGCTTCTCACCTCTAATCCTCCACCGGAATGACCTGAAGAAGTTTCATAATCCTGCCAAGGATCATATTTTGAAACTTCGTGGGAAATTAGCCGTAGTGTTAAATTTATATTTGAACTTTAAGTACTTAAGTGGGAAGAAATACAAATAGATTTAAATGGTCAAGGAAATTTGGGGAAAACGGTTCATTTTGTAATATAAATGGAACCCAGTCAGAGGATGCCTTTGAAGCTTGTGGATAGACCTGGTCAGTTATCTACAGTACCATTCCTGTGCTATCCACATGCCAACCTGATGGCCCAGGAGGCCAGGGTGGGAGACTTGCACTCCCAACCATAAGTCCCCTCTGTGTGTGAGGCTGATAGGCTTTGGGCCATTGGAGGATCATTTTTCCTTTTCTGTGGTAACTGTGGTGCCAGGGAGGAGTGATGGCCTGTACCTTCCCTAAATCCCAATGTTTTGGATGCCCCTTTCCTCTGCTCTTGCAGCACTGAGCGCTCACTGCCCCAAACTGAACTTCTGTGCTTGTTGGGATTCCTGACTTGACCTCAAGCCCTCTGTGGGCAAACTTGTGAGTTCTTTGTATGACTGGTGGCTACCTTAAATAGGCGTTCAATGACTATTTGTTGAATGTTGGTATTTTCAGGTATGCTAGGCTAGTTTCATCATTTAGCTTTATGTATTATTTGGGGTTGTATTATTGCCAGTGCTACCCAATGAAGAGAAACATCCTTACATACTTTCAGTGCCCCAGAATGGCTGCTGTCTTTATTCTTAAGGGTTACTAGGGGCTAAGTGCAGAGAGAGAGAGAGAGAGACAGAGAGAGAGAGACAGAGAGAGAGAGAGAACAATAGGTAAGAAGCATCCCAAGAAGCATCCCAGCTGGTGGCTCATACCTGAAAGCTGTTCTTTCATGGTTCATTAGACTTCGACCTTGAACTGGCAGCACCTCTTTGACATTGAGGGTGAAGCTGACAAAATGGAAATGGAAACTCACCAAGGTTTCCTATGGAAGTGCTGTAATAGAGAGCCTGGGACTCCCAGCTTCATCATTTATTAAGATAGCTGTTATGGGCTGGGCGCAGTGGCTCACGCCTATAATCCCAGCACTTTAGGAGGCCAAGGCGGGTGGATCATGAGGTCAGGAGATCGAGACCATCCTGGCTAACACAGTGAAATCCCGTCTCTACTAAAAATACAAAAAATTAGCCGGGCACAGTGGCGGGCGCCTGTAGTCCCAGCTACTTGGGAGGCTGAGGCAGGAGAATGGTGTGAACCCGGGAGGCGGAGCTTGCAGTGAGCTGAGATTGCGCCACTGCACTCCAGCCTGGGCAACAGAGCAAGGCTCCATCTCAAAAAAAAAAAAAAAAAAAAAAAGATAGCTGTTATGTATTGAATGCTTGCTATGTGTGAGGCAAGAGGTTAATTACATAACCACTGTCTTACTTCATCCTAATAACCCTCTGAAATTATTTTCATCCTTCTTTTCCAAATGAGAAAATTGAGGCTAAGGAAGAGTGAGAAACTTCTCCAAGATGACCCAACATTATTTCTCTGTCCCAGAGCAGAGCTAGGATGAACTCCGACCTGCAGCAAGTCCTGGAATAACATCCTTTCTTTTGACAATGTTTCACTATAATGTTGACCAAAAAAAAAAAAAAAAAAAAAAGATCCCAGCCAGGGCCACTGTCTGTGTGGGTTTTCTCCAGGTATTCCAGTTTCCCCCCACATCCCAAAGCTGTGCATGTTAGGTGAATCGGTATGTCTGCACTGTCCCGGTGTGAGTGAGTGTGGGTGTGTATGGGTATGCCCTGTGATGGATGGCATTCTGCACAGGGCTGGTTCCCATCTGGTACCCTGAGCACTCATGACCCTGAACTCAACTGAGCAGACTGGAAAAAATGAATAAGTGAATGAGTACAAATTATTGCAAAATAAACGTTCATAAAGCATACAATAATCGTATAGACACATGACAATAAATGATGCAGTACAAAAGCTCTCGGAGGCCCACCGTATTCGTGATTGTTTCTGAACTGCATGCTTATAGGAGGGGCTCCTTACAATTTTTGCTTGGCAGACATGAATTTTTTTATCTGACCCACCACCACTACGTCACTGTCACTTACTGATTCATAAAAAATTGGGTAAATCATTATCTTGTTTTTATTAATCTTTCTTAAATGTATGTGTAGCTCACATTTATTTCAGTGTTTAATATTAAAACTGTTTTGGTCTTTATTAAGAAGTTTGGGCTGGGCGTGGTGGCTCATGCCTGTAACCCCAGCCGAGGCCGAGGGGGGCAGATCACGAGGTCAGGAGATCGAGACCATCCTGGCTAATATGGTGAAACCCCATGTCTACTAAAAATACAACAAAATTAGCCAGGCGTGATGGCGGGCGCCTGTAGTCCCAGCTACTCAGAAGGCTGAGGCAGGAGAATGACATGAACCCAGGAGGCAGAGCTTGCAGTGAGCCAAGATCGCGCCACTGCACTCCAGCCTGCGCAACAGAGCGAGACTCCGTCTCAAAATTAATTAATTAATTAATTAAAAGAAGTTCGGTGTTTTTGTGACCAGAAATTTGCCAAGGGAACGTCACTCTTGTTTATATCAATTAGCTTATGGTCACATTGGTTCCTTTATGTGATTTTACTTAAAGTCACAGCCTCCAAGAACTTACCAGTGACATCAAGTGAGGATTCCCTGTACAGACTTTAACCTCTAACCCATATACCTTTCTTGGCAATGGTGGCTGCTTATAAGTTCCATGGCATGGGCAAGTTAACCTCTCTAAGCCTCAGTTTACTCAAAAGAAATTTGGGAATGGCAATGCCTACCTCATAGGTTTATTATGAGGTTTAAACCAGATGACACAGATGAAAGTAGACATATGATCATGGCACGTGGAAGGCATTACATAAATTTTTGTCTCCTCTTTAGAGCTGAACATGCATTAGGCATTCAGAAAACCAACAGAGTGATGGATATGCTGGCAGAAAGACAGAGGTGGCATGACTGTCCCTGATCACTGTGGAGCTGGCATGGGTCTGGAGATGACTTCTCTTGACACTTGGGGCACATGAGGGTCACAAGTGTTTAGCACCTGCTCTGGAGTGGTTTCATGATGTACCATGACTCTATAGCCATCACTCCACACCTGCCTCTCCCACTCACAAGTCTGCTATTCGTGCAGAATGGACATCTATGTGTAAGCAAACAGACATGTGTTTGTGTGTACAAAACACATTTTCCCATCATTGTTGCCAATGTGCGCTCACTGCAGACACATAGTAGCTTTGATGCCACTGAACATTTACCTTCCACTAAGCATGCATTTCACAGAGGCGAAGTAGGGGCTGAATCTTAGGACAGTGTTCAAGTTCTAGCTCTGACTACTCTGCTACTGACCTGCTGTATAATATATCCATAATTTTTAAAAAAAGGAATTCAAGTTCAAGCAGATTAAAATCCTGATTTCACTTTTATCTTTCCCCTGGGGACTATGAATGAGTAGATGGGGCAGTTGGCCCAGTTTTGCTCCTGGAATAGCACCTAACACATAGTGGTACCCAGTGCATATTTGTGCAGCGAATATGAGGATGACAGTGATGGCGTTGGAATTATCTTTCTAAACATCCTCCTGCAGGCAGGCCCCTAGTTCACCTTGACAGCCTCACATCTCACTCAGTCACTAGCGGTTTCTACAGAAGCCCACGTGCCATTTTGATTACTGACCTCTGCATGTGCTGTTCTTTCTTCCTCAGTTGCTCTCAACACTATCCACTTAACAAAGACCTGTTTATTCTTAAAGGCCAAGTATAAACAGGACCTCCTTTGTAAAACTTCCCCAGTTCTTCCTTGGTAGAATAAGCTGCATTTCTTCTGCTCCTGAGGTACTTTGTACCTGTCTCTCTTCTAGTACTTGGTTCTGTTCCTAATGATGTTGTGAAGATCTTGTGTGCATCTCTCCCTCTTGACCATCACCTCCTAGAGGGCAGGGAGCTTTATTATTTTTCCAGTCCTAGAGCAATACCTATGGAAACCATTTGTTGAATGACTAAATGAGAAAGAGATGGCTACAGAGAGGCAATGCATTAGATCAAAAATGTAAAAAAATAGGGAATATTGTATAAGAGAAGATACAGAACAAACTACGAAAGTCAAATGTCTGTCTTTATTGGCATTCTTTGATCACAGAATCTGATGAAAAGAACACATCTCCTAAAGAATCCTTTTTTCTCTGTATACAACACCACCAAACAGATAACATTTGGCCTTGGAAAGGCAAATTACAGGCCAGGCACAAAAGCAGCTATAGCTTTATCATTTAGATGCACCCTAAAAAGAGGAGAGTCAAGGAGAAGGAAATTAGATCTTGAGCATTTCTCTAGTTCTGTTGTCAAAAAAGGAAAAGGTAAATAGGAAATATCTGAGAAGAATGGCAAAGAGATCCCAATAAAGGAACTAACTTTTTTTTTTTTTTTTTGCTTTTAGTTTTGGGATACATGTGCAGAACGTGCAGGTTTGTTACATAGGTATACATGTGCCATGGTGGTTTGCTGGGCCTATCAACCCATCATCTAGGTTTTAAGCCCAACATGCATTAGGTATTTGTCCTAATGGTCTCCCTCCCCTTGTTCCCCACCCCCTGACAGGGAGTGTGTGATGTTCCCCTCCCTGTGTCCATGTGTTCTCATTGTTCAACTCCCACTTATGAGTGAGAACATGTGGTGTTTGGTTTTCTGTTCCTGTGTTAGTTTGCTGAGAATGATGGTTTCTAGCTTCATCCATGTCCCTGCAAAGGACATGAACTCATTCTTTTTTATGGCAGCATAGTATTCCATGGTGTATATGTGCCACATTTTCTTTATCTAGTCTATCATTGATGGACATTTGGGTTGAAAGGAACCAACTTCTATTTGGAATTTTCCGAGCAAATTAGATCGATAATTGTAATATTTGAAGTTTTTGAGTTGCACAGGACATGGTGCTTAGTCCCTTATTCGCCGAGCCCTTGCCCTCCCCAGATTCTACAACTAGTAATTTCTACAGAGGCCAGCACCTGTGGTGAATGTGAGCTCATCTGAGTCCTGGAAACCTTGGGGGCTGCTCTGGTTCATTCACACTGGTTCAGGAACTCAGGCTTAGCAATGAATCCTCAGGCCCCAACGAAACCCCACTTGGCCTTAAAGGAGACAACTGGTAGACCAGATGTCCTCACATGGATTCATATCAAAGAGAAATTCTGAAAGACAGCTCAAAGCTAAGCAGATCTTAATTTGTCCATATTATCTTTGAGATGTGACTATCTTCCTCAGCTTCCTGGCAGCTTGCCCAGCTCTCTGAGGGAAACTCAGTTGGCCAGAGTTCACCTGGGTTTATCAGGCCTCCAGGGGAATCTGTTTTCTCTGTGTGCATCCTTTGTTATTCTGCGGGAACTGGGTCATCTTTTCAAGAGTGGAAATGTCAGAGGAATAAAGAGGCTCCCTTGAAAAGATCTTTGCCACCACAGAAAGGAAACATCTCAGCATATCCCTTAAATAACAACATACAGTGTGACAGCCTTGCTTCCGACCCAAAGAAAGAAAAGAGGCCGAGAACACTGGGCAACATTTACACACACCCCTTTGCTGGGTGGACAGCTGGACTGGGGCTGTGTCATCCCAAGCACTGAATTAAAGGAGCGGAAACATCAACTCTGTGGAATCTTTTTGGATGGCAAAGTAGGCTAGAAAGCAGACAAAGGAAGGCTTTCAGCAAAAGCCTGATTTTTTATATTGCAGCACGCTTCGAACGTAAGGCTGCTGCCTGGAGAAGCAGGAATCTGTGACTATCTGGGAAAAGCCCCATCCAGACTGCAGTCTCCCACTCACCCCAGCAACAGACAGAAAGTTATTGTAGAGGGCAGCGAGCTGTGGCTGCACCAGTCCTTTCAGTTGTTCTAGAGAGATGCCACGGTGTGTGAAATAGATCTCACCATGTTAATTGACTGCTAGAAAGACAACTTATGCAAAAGTCTGGCTGGGAGAATCCTAAGATAAGGCACATTATTGACCACGTGTCCTAGGATTTGGGTTGCATCATGAGCTACCAAAAGACTCAACCCTGAGTCACAAACTTCTATATGGCAAATCCCTTCCCAATTACAAAATCATTCACCATGCCCCCAAGCTTAGCACTACCCTCAGGCAAATATACCATCTCCCAATCAATGCCCCCTAACAAGCAGAACTGATCATGATTAAGACAGGGCACATTGATGGTGTGTGCTTTTTAGGGTCTCGGCTAGTGTTCTTTTTTCCTCTTATGAACCCAGATAAGCTATGACATGCAGTACTGGCCTGCTTGATCCATGAAAAGACTTGTGTGTCGGGATTCTTCCAAAACCTTGGACTAATCCTGGCTCTGCCACTCAGGAGCCCCTGCATGGCCTTGAGGAAATCACTTTGTTGGCCTCAGCTATCCCTATTTGTAAAGCCCCTGACACCAGGGGCTCCACTCAAAAACATCCATGTTCACCCTTCTATTCACTGTTAATTACATTGGAGATAAAACAGACATCAAGATTGCATAGACAGAGCAAATAAGGGGAAACTAAGGTATCTTAACTTCAGTTTAGTTCTCCTGAGAATAAGGGAAATGCAAGATGTCACACAAAATTCTGCCCAGGCTTGGGAAGAGCTGAGATGTCTGTTATAGACCTTTGCTCCCTGCGTGCTTGTGTCAGCCCACCAGAACCCCTCCTTTCAAAATACCCTCCTCATTGTCCATTCTTATCCTAAGTTTTATTAATCATGAATAATGTGCTACTACCTCAATAACTGACCATCTGTGCATCACCGTATTTCTCAAACCCCAATTCATTGTAAGAATTAGCTAAAGAACTTTTTTTTTTTTTTTTTTTTTTTGAGATGTAGTCTCGCTCTGTCATCCAGGCTAGAGTACAGTGGTGCGATCTCGGCTCACTGCAAGCTCCGCCTCCCGGGTTAACGCCATTTTCCCACCTCAGCCTCCCAAGTAGCTGGGACTACAGGCACCTGCCACCACGCCCGGCTAATTTTTGTATTTTTAGTAGAGACAGGGTTTCACCGTGTTAGCCAGGATGGTCTCGATCTCCTGACCTTGTGATCTGCCTGCCTCGGCCTCCCAAAGTGCTGGGATTACAGGCATGAGCCATCGCGCCCAGCCGAGCTAAAGAACTTTTTAATGGTAAAGATTCTGGGCTGCAGCTTCAGGATGGGGTAGGGTCTGCACACGTCCGATGGTTCAGATGTTTGGGAATTATTGCTGGGCAGCAGGAATGTGTTAGAGTCATATCAGATCCTAAAACAACTTGAGGGGTGGGAGGTGGAACACGGCAGCAGTGGTGGTGCTGGTGTGATTCTATGAAAAGTAATTCCATATGATTCTGATATGCTCCATCTCCTGCAATCCCTGCTCCCTCCCCCCACTCCCCACCATTTGAGAATTATTGGCACTTGGGTTGGATGAAAAATGCCTTGGACTAATCCTAGCTCTGCCACTCAGGAGCCACACCCCCCTACTCCATGGCCTTAGGAAATCACTTTGTTGGCCTCAGTGTCCCTATTTGCAAAGTAAAAGCATTGGTCCATTCAGTGGTTGTCCAATGTCATTGTGTATCAGAATTATCAGGAGAGTCTTAATAACACATCAATGCCTGGGCCCCACTCACAGAGGTTCTGACCTAATTTGCCTGGCATGAACTCTGATTTGGAGTATCTGTCCAGCTCCCCAGGGGATACTGCTGTGGGGACAGCTCTGAAGTTGTATGATTAGAGTCCTCACTTTTCTGGAGCACTCCACAAATGATTGGCAGCCTTCCTTCTGATGTGTCTACAAGACTATTTTGAAGTCCTTGTGACAGAGTTGACTAGCTAGCACTTGACTCACCATCTTGGAAGTTAACATTAATAGACAATAGAAGAGTTGCTTTATTTGATAAGCAATGAAGCAACAAAGTGTTTGTGATCGGTAATTTCATGTGTCAACTTGGCTGGACCAAGGGATGCCCAGATAGCTGGTTAAACATAATTTCTGGGTGTATCTGTGAGGATGTTTCCAGAAGAGATAAGCATTTGCATTAGTAGGCTGAGTAACAAGATCCACCCTCAGCAATGTGGGTAGGCCTTATCCAATCCCTTGAGGCCCTGGAAAGAACAAAAAGATAAAGGGTGGATTCACTCTCTCTGCTTGAGCTGAGACACATGTCTTCTCCCGCCTTCAGACATCAGCATTTCTGGTTCTTAGGCTTTCAGACTCAGACCAGGACTTACACCATTGGCCCCTGATTCTCAGGCCTTAGACCGAATTATACCATTGGCTTTTCCGGTTCTTCAGTGTGCAGACAGCAGATTTTTATGGGACTTCTAGGCCTCCATAATCACATGAGCCAATTCCTATGTCTCTTCTTATATAAATAATTATATATGTCCTATCCGTTCTGTTTCTCTGGAAACCCCTGACTAATACAGTGCTGCATAGGTTTTTCTGATCCACTTTAATACATTAAAGATTCATGAGCAGTGCAGTTTTTCCTGAAGCGTTTCTCATAGGATAATTAAGCCATATTCTGATTCTAAGCCCACTTTTTCTCAGGTGGCAAGTGTCACCACTAGGTCTGTTATGGTTTACGTATGTGTGTGTGTGTGTGTGTGTGTGTGTGCACACAGCGACTTTCTTGCTATAGAATAAACTGTCTCCCGAGAGGTGGGGCTCCATCAGGGCCTAAATGTTTTACACCAGGGATGACTTCCCAGTAGTTTTCTCAGGTTAGGATACTAGGGAAGAATTACCAAGTACAGCACTTACTGTTGGTTGAGTATGGCTTTAAGCACTTTATTTTTTATTTTATTTTTTTGAGACAAGGTCTTGCTCTGTCACCTAGGCTGGAGTGCAGTGGTGCAATCACGGCTCACTGAAGCCTTGAACTCCCGAGGCTCAATCGATCCTCCCACCTTATCCTCCCAAGCAGCCGGAACTACAGGTGTGTGCCACCAGGCCTGCCTAATTTTCGATTTTTTTTTTTTTTTTTTTTTTGGGTAGAGATAGGATTTCACCGTGTTGCCCAGGCTGGTCTCAAACTCCTGGACTTAAGTGATCCTCCCACCTCAGCGTCCCACAGTGTTGGCATTACAGATGTGAGCCACCATACCTGGCCAAGCACTTTAATTAATAACTTCAGTTATCCTCACAACAATCCTGTATGCTATATATTACTAATATTCCCATTTTATAGATGGGTACAATGAAAAACAGCACATTGCAGTAACCTCCAAAGTTACCTCGTAAATAACAGAGACATTTGAACTCAGGCATGTTGGCTCCCGAACCTGTGTCCTTTATTACTAAAAAACATTGCCTCCCCCGTAATCAGTAGCTTAATGTTTGTAATAAAAACTGAAAACAAATCCAGGCTTTATCACTGCTTTCCAATATCTTGGTTACTCTCAGCTATTCTCAGGAGATGAAAATCACAAGGCTTCTTAACAACCAGTTTTGCCCTTGATTTTCTGAAGAGTGGAATGAGATGCACCAGCTGTGAGTGAGAACCTTTTGTGCCTGTGTACTTGCAAATTTATCATCACTTCCCTGTTTCTGTGTGAAACCTGAACCAGACTGTGGAGCAGCTGATCTGCTCTCTTTGGCCCACTTCACAATTCATACCTGTTTCGAGGCGGCTGGATCCGCCTGCGGGCTACATCCATCACAAGGCGGCTGCTGTGGTGACTCAGCCGGGCTGAAATCCGGTTCTTCCGGCCGCATGTCCCTGGACATCTGCCTGCTGGAAAGCCAAGACAAGCAGGTTCACACACCTATGTTCACTGATGTGAGCTGTGCTGTTACCTTATTTTTATTATTAATTATTATTTTGAGGCAGAGTCTCTCTCTGTCACCGAGGCTGGAGTGCAGCGGTGTGATCTCGGCTCACTGCAACCTCCGCCTCCCGGGTTCAAGCAATTCTCCTGCTTCAGCCTCCCAGGTAGCTGAGATTACAGGCGCTCGCCACCATGCCTGGCATTTTCTTTTCTTTTTTCTTTTTTCTTTTTCTTTTTTGTATTTATAGTAGAGACGAGGTTTCACCATGTTGGCCAGGCTGGTTTTTATTATTTTTTTAATTCAGAAAACTTCGGCGTTCTAAGGCGCAAAGTGACATTATTTGCGCGTTTCCTATTTTATGAGTTTTTGCTCCATTCTTTGCACTGTGGACCCAAATGCAGCCAGCAGCAGCACTGAGGATATGATAATATATTACTTTCTTTTTCTTTTTTCTTTTTGTTAACGGCACCATTTCCTATATGTCCCATTAACTTAAAAGCTCCATATGACAGCATATTATCATTTTATAAAGTGCATATTTTTCTTGTTTCTTTATTATATAAGTCATAAAATGTATAGCTGGTTTCTTACTGAAAATAATTTTACGATGTGTTCAACTGAGCTAGGGAAAGCTGGTTAATGGATGATGGGGAACATGGGGTCATTCTGTGAAAGGGAGCAGCTCAAAGAACTTTGCACCATAAAAGTTAATGAGAAAAAGTCAAGAGTTAGGCGTGTGCTTACGTGTAAATCTTGATGAACTGTGCATTAATTTCTCTCTTGGGTTTAGGCATCATTTGGTCCAGAGAGCAGCTATAGAATAAATTCACGTACTATTATTCAGAAATTTGTCACTTTTCCTTTCAGATGTGAGAGGTTTGGATCTGATTCTTAGTCAATATCTTCAAAAGTAGGTCGAGAACTTATTAGTTTGGGTAATAGTTTACTGCACACTCTGAACAGAATCCACTGGGGAAGAAAAAGTTTGTAAACATATAATTAATGTGGATGGTCCCTCATAGTATTACATGTTTATTACATGTGCAATATATATTACATTACCTATAACACGTGTAGTTATGGCATAGACACAATAAGGTAAAAGATAATATTTTCCCAATTAGACTTTATCTTAGGGCCCCTGCACTGGAAATTTCCCCGCATTGGAATGCTCTTCCCTCCAAGTAGGAAGCATGGATTCCTCCTTCAGTCATTTCAATCATAACTCAAATGTCATCTCCTCAAAGAGGCCCTTCCTACCACCCATTTAAAGTATCCACTGAACATTCCTCATCCCATTAACTATCCATACAGTCACTATCGCATATCCGACAGTTTTCCTGTTTATTTATTTAATAGTTTATTGTCTGTCTCCACCCTCTAGAATGTAAACTTGGTAAGAACAAGACCTTGTCTGTCTTGTTTACTCCTGTAACCCAGTTCCTTAAAGAGTGAGTGCCTGGTATACAGTGGGAGGTCATTAACTGTTTGCTAGAAGGAAGGAAAGGAAATGGGAAGAAGGGAAGAAAGAAGGGAAAAAAGAGAGGGAGGGAGGAAGGGAGGAAAAGAAGAAGGAGAAAGGGAAGAAGGAAGGAAGAACAGATGGACCTGAGAGAGCTGAGCTTAGGTATTAGATACTAACTTGCATAACCAGGGGAAGCCAAGAGACGTGATTTGAGTTAGATCTTAAAAGATGGCAGGGGTGTGGTTTATGGCTGGTAGGAGGAGGAGAAACAGATTTTTCTAGTTAGAATCTCTGAACAACCAGTTATACTAGAGAGAGTATGAGTACGCACTGGGTGTTGTCCCAGGTTCAGAAAAGATGTTATAGGCAGTGGATTTAGGGAAGTGGCAGGTTATAGGGACTTTAAAAAATGTAACTCAAGGCTTATGTGAAATTGTAGGAAGCAGTTTGAGATGAGGAGGGGGATGGATTAGGAAGTAATCTGAAGCAAACTGAAGGAGAGACATAGTGTGATCAATGAATGCCAAGAAGATTGGAAGTGTCTCTCAATCATTTGTATAACACCGTTTTGTAAAGCTGATTGATAGATGGACAGAATCTCAGTCCGGGACATCTGCTAGACATTTGGTGGAAAACGGGCTCTCGCCTCCCAGGCTGGGAAGAGACTGCTTTCATGTGGGTACTATGGTGGGATAGCTCATTCTGCCCTTGCTATTTGGAGGGTAGAAAGTACCAGGGAAGATGTGGCATGGGCAGAGTTGAAAGGTAAAAGATGGTGGGAAGCTTGGAATGAAAATTGTTTTGTTAAAAGCATATTGTCAGAAAAATACAATTTCTGTGATATAATTATTCTACCCTTTCTAGCTCTCTGTAATTTACTGTATGTTTCTTGAGATAGGAGGATAGTGTCTCTTGATCATTTGAAAAATCCAGGAAGAAAATGGAAAAGGCCCTGAAAGTTTAGATACGCAGCTCTTATCATGAACTGTTCGAGGATATTGACCTGCAGCGTATGCAGAATTTGAAGTAGCTTTCAAAATCCTGTTAGTTCCTTTAAGAATCAGGGGTGGTGGTAGGGATTTGGCATTGCAGTTTAAAGATGCATGCCATCACTGAGTGGGTTTTTAACAAGTGGTCTTTGACTTCCACTATCTCATATTGTCTCATACCTCCACCTTCCATGTGGTCTGTCATTATGGATTCCGCTGATTCTCATTCTTCAAATCCAGATGTAGCTATTAGCCTCTAATCCAGGAAATAGGCCTCTCTCTTGTAATCCAGTTGATTCTCAGTGCTCTTCTGGCATCTGGCCTTCTCCACTGGATTCTAAATTGCCCTGTACATTGACTCCTCTGTCCCAACCATTTTATAGCTGCTCTCAAACGTGACTCTACCCTGGCCCATCATTTGCTACCAGAAGCCCAGGGGTCCCCTTAGAATCCATGTGTGCACTGATTTAGCCCTTCCTCTGAACTTGGTAGTGAAGATAGTCATTTAGGCCATAGACTCAACTGACTGTCAATTCCTTCACACATTTTGTTCTCAATCCAGTTTATTTTGGCGACGACCATTTAAAGAGTCTCCTCTCTTGTTTCCTTTGTCACGCTCCCCTGGACACAGAAGAGCCTTTTCTGTCAAGAACAGCAAGTATCAGCATTGTTTTCTGAACCAGTGTAGTCTTATCTTCATACCTACCATGAAAAGCCAGGAAGAGAAAGAAAGTAACCTCTTAAACGTCCATTATCATAGTAGCAGTTTCTTTTCCTTTATGCTCCAAGTTGGAAGGTTGCTGCTTTCATCTCACTTGGATTAGAATGAAATTATTTACATTAGCTATGCTGCATCTCCAAAATTAGTTAATGGTAAACGTCACTTGTGTCACAAAAAATTAATTTTGTGTTCTTCTGAAGTTATCTTCCTGGCTAACCATTGTGCAGGGTGCCACTGGCATTGGCTCTGGGAGCGGGGAGGGGAAGCCATGCTGCCTTCCACACTGGGGCCTTGGCAGGTTGCATGGTGGTGCGCACAAGGAAACTGAACCGCATCTGCATGGCTCACTGCTTATCAGGAGCGCACACTGGCTGCCATGCTGTAGGGCAGCGAAGGAAAACAAAACAACAATAAAGGGAGGCCTTTGTCATGGATTAAAAGGGTTTAGAAACATCTGAGCCATGCAGTTTTCGAACACTAACACTGCCAATGACTTCATGACAAAAATGCTAGAAAATGTGCTAACTGGGTTAGATAGAGTTGGTGGGGCCGCCAACACTCATGCTTTTGTTAATGGCCTCTTATCTGTGTGAGTGTGTGGATGCACAGTTCACAGATAAAGTTACCTTTTGTAGAATGAGAGGAATGAGGTTAATGACGTTACAGTATTGCTGCTTGTGATTGCAGCTAAGGGTGTCCCTAAAGATTGTCATTCCCGGACAAATTTTTCATTTTCAAGTGGGTTCATCTCATACGTCTCAACTTCCTCCATTAGAAAATTCATAGTGGGAACTAATGGAAGGGTCCTATCTTTATGCATAAGTACAATAGGTGGTTACCTAAACGACTGCTTCAGGGATCAGCAAAGATCTCCTCCCATGCATTCAGTTCTACACCTACTGATTCATTCCTTTATGTTAATTGATGCCCCATTCCCCAAATTTTTCCTTTAAAAATATAATGATGTGGTTTTCTTCTTTAATTTGGCTACTCAATTATCTAAGTGTCTTTGGATGGATTTATTTCAAAATAGTCTGAGATATCAATACCTGTCTGCCACTGGTTGATAAAATCATTAGACAGGCAAGCAGTAAAATATAAAAAATTTAAACAACACTATCAACCAACTTGATCTAATTAACATTTATAGAAAACTCCCCCCAACGACTGCAGAATAAACATTCTTTTCAAGTGCATATGAACATTTACCAAACTATACCATATTTTGGGCCATAAGACAATTCTCAATACATTTAAAAGAATTCAAGTCTTATAAAGTACATTTCGTAATGACAATGGAATTTAATTAGAAATCATTAGTAGAAATATCTCTAGAAAATCCATAAATATTGGAAATTAAATAGTGTACCTCTAAGTAATATAATGGGTCAAAGGGCAAATCTAAAGGGAAAGTAGAAAGTATTTTGCACTGAATGAAATTAATATATAATGCATTGAAATTTGTGGGATGCACTAAAGCAGTGCTTAAAAGAAAATTTATAGCACTAAGTGCCATGTTAGAAAAAAAGAAACGTCTCAAATGAATGACTCCAGCTTCATCTTTAAAAAAAACTAGAAAAAGAGCACATTAAACTCGAAGCAAATAGAAGAAAGGAAATAATAAAAATCAAAGCAGAAATAAAGAAGCAGAAAACAGGCCAGGCGCGGTGGCTCATGCCTGTAATCCCAGCACTTTGGGAGGCCTAGGCGGGTGGATCACTTGAGTTCGGAAGTTCAAGACCAGCCTGGCCAACATGAGAAGCCCCGTCTCTACTACAAATACAAAAATTAGCCGGCTGTGGTGGCTACTGTGGTGGGACCTGTAGTCACAGCTACTCAAGAGGCTGATGTATGAGAATCACTTGAACCTGAGAAGTCAAGGTTGCAGTGAGCTGACGTTGCACCACTGCACTCCAGCCTGGGCAATAGAGTGAGACTCCATCTTAAAGAAGATAAAAGTAGAAAACAGAAAAAAACAATATAGAAAAATTAAGGAACCCTGAAGCTGTTTCTTTGAATGGATAAATGAAATTGAGAAAGTTCTAGCCAGGTCGATCAGAAAAAAAGAGAAATGACACAAATGATCAATAGTGTGAATGAGTAGTATGAATGAAAGAATTATATAAATACAGAATCTACATATATTATAAAGATAAACTACTTTATGACAATAAACTTGACAACTTAGATAAACTGGACAAATTCCTTGAAAGATAAAAACTACCAAAACTCATTCAAGAAATAAAAGTAGGTAACTTGACTAGCCAAAAATCTGTTAAATAAATGTTTAGTTAAAAACCATCTCCCCAAAAGATTCATTCTCCAGGTGACTTTACTGGTAAATTTACCAGACATTTAAGAAATAACATCAATTCTATTCAAGTGCTTCCGGAAAATTGAAGAGAGGGGACTACTCTCCAATGCAGTCTACAAGACAGCATTACCCTAATACCAAAATCAGACACACAAGAAAAGAAAACTGCAGACCACTGTCTCTGATAGACATAAGTGCAAAAAAATCCTAAGTAAAGTTTTAGCAAATTGAACCCGACAATGTATAAATAGAATCGTGATCAAGTTGTGTTTAATCCCAGGAATACAAGATAAGTTTAACATTCAAATATTGTCATTTACCATTTTGAGAAACTGAAATAGTGTTGCCTCAGTAGACACCAAAAAACATTTGACAAAATCTAATGTCCATTCCTGATAAAAACTCTCAGCAAACTAGGAATAAAAGATAGCTTTTTCATCCTGAGGAAGGACATCTACAAAAAAACGTACAGATAACATTATATTTAATGGTGAAAGACTTAATGTTTTCAAAATCAGGATAAGGGTAAGGATGTCTGTTTCACCACCTCTATTCAACATTGTAAAATGTAATACTTTTTCTTACTATATACAAGGCAATAGAAAAGAAATATAACCATCCGTATTGAGAAGGAAAAAGTAAAACTATTTTTATTCACAGATGGTATCACTGTTTAAGTAGAAAATACTTAGGGTTTTCTTCTTACAATGGAACCTACAAAATGTTACTAGAATTAATACGTGGGTTTAACAAGATTGTGGGATCCAAAATCAATATACAAAAATTAATTGCATATGATAGCAATGAGCAATCTGAAAATGAAATTTAAAATGAATGACATCAATTTAAATAACATCCAAAAAAATTAAATACTTAGGGATAAATATGGCAAAACATGGAAAATATCTATCTGTACACTGAAAGCTACAAAACAGTGTTTAGAGAAATTAAAGAAGACTTAACTATATAGAGTCCAAAGACTCAACAGTGTTAAGATGTATACTCTCCACAAATTGATCTATAGATTCACTGCAATTCCAAGGAAAATTACCTTCAATTTTTTTTTGGATAAATTGACAACTGATTGTAAGATTAATATGTAAATATAAAGAACCACGAATAGGCCGGTTGTGGTGGCTCACACCTGTAATCCCAACACTTTGGGAGGCCGAGATGGGCAGATCACGAGGTCAGGAGATCGAGACCATCCTGGCTAACACGGTGAAACCACGTCTCTTCTAAAAAATCGACAAAAAAAATTAGCCGGGCGTGGTGGCGGCCACCTGTAGTCCCAGCTACTCGGGAGGCTGAGGCAGGAGAATGGCGTGAACACGGGAAGCAGAGCTTGCAGTGAGCTGAGATCCCGCCACTGCACTCCAGCCTGGGTGACAGAGAGAGACTCTGTCTCAAAAAAAAAAAAAAAAAAGAACCACGAATATCCAAAACATCTTTAATAAAGAATAACAAATTTAGAAGAATAGCACAATCCAATTTTGAGATTATTATAAAGCTATAGTAATCAAGACTGTGATATTGGCATAATTATAGGCGCACAAATCAATGAAACCAAAACAGACATATATACATATGACCAGCTGATTTTTCACAAAAGCACAAAGGCAATTCAGTGGAAAAAGGATAGTTTTTCAACACATGGTGTTGGAAAAACTGGTACTAGAACACATGCAAAACAAAATAAAAACAAAAAACTTCATACTTTCACCATATACACAGATTAACCTAAAATGGATTATAGACTTAAGTGTAAAACATAAAACTATAAAAGTTCTACAACATAAAATAGGAGAAAACCTTTGTGACCTGGGATTGAGAAAGTTTTCTTAGATATGATACCAAAATACAATCAATAAAAGAACAAATTGACAAATTGAACTTCATCACAATGAAAAAGTTCTGGCCTTTGAAAGAGACTGGTAAGAGAATAAAAAGACAATCCACAGACTGAGAGAAAATATTTGCAAAGCAAATATCTCGTAAAGGACTTGTATCCAGAATAAACTCAATGATAAGAAAACAACTATTTGAAAAAATGGGCAATAGATTTAAACAGACACTTCACCAGAGAAGATACATGGATGGCAAATAAGCACAGGAAGTGATGCTCAACAGCATTAGTCATTGGGAAGATACAAATTAAAGCCACAAGATAACACTTAAAACCCAAATTTACAAAAACTTAACCAAAAGAATTGAAGAATTCTCTGTGAAAAGTGTTTTGTGCTGTTTAAGCACTTCAGCAAAACAGAAGACCAAGCAGATGAAATGGCAACAACACTACAAAAGATTAAAAGGGAACTTGAATACGTAGGGAATATATTGAGAAACAGAACACCTACATTACTTGATGTAATAAACAATTATCGGCCAGGCGCAGTGGCTCACGCCTGTAATCCCAACACTTTGGGAGGCTGAGGTGGGCAGATCACGAGGTCAGGAGATCGAGACCATCCTGGTTAACACGGTGAAACCCCGTCTCTACTAAAAACACAAAAAATTAGCCGGGCGTGGTGGGCGCCTGTAGTCCCAGCTACTCGGGAGGCTGAGGCAGGAGAATGGCATGAACCCGGGAGGCGGAGCTTGCAGTGAGCCAAGATAGCGCCACTGCACTCCAGCCTGGGCGACAGAGCGAGACTCCGTCTCAAAAATAATAATAATAAATAAAATAAAATAAAATAAATAATTATCAGCAAGTAACAGAATAGGTGCACCTAGAACTGTCTTAAAGAAAAGACTTCAGAATTAACTGAATATCGAGGAGAAAAAAAATAATAATGAAGGCAATAGAGAGAGAATTCTTGATAGGAAGGGCTAACAAAGATGATTCAACAAGAGGATAAACAGCTTCCTTAAAGTAGAAAAATGTAATAAATGAGTAACAAGTATATTATGCTTCAATTGTTATAAAGTTACTTTTGTTTATTAGGTATCCATTTGTGTGTTACATGCAAGAGAGGTGTCTGGAAGGAACGGCACGAACTAGTCAACTATTTCTGGGTGGTTGAATTTGAGGTCTTTTGTTGATTTCTTTATTATAATTTTCAGTGTTGTTTACTTTCAAAAAAAATAGGCAAGCGTAATTTTTTTAAATAATGGTAATTTATATTATTTAATTTCTAAGGGGAATTAAAGTAGTGGAAAATTTTTAAATAATTTTTGTTTTTCAGTCTGTGGATTGTCTTTTTATTGTCTTACCAGTCTCTTTCAATTTTAAAATAATTATTAACAATGACTCAATATATTTAATTTTTATATGATGTATTTGAATTCAAATTAAGCAAAATAGTTTATCTTTTTTATTTCTGGCAGATTCATAATACGATATTATGGGGTTATTTTTATTATTTGGGGTTAAAACTTACACTGATTTCCCCTAAAGCCTTATAATTATGTTACTTTACATTGTATTTATTGTTAGTCCAGTTGGCTTTTAATATACTCCTGTGTCTGTAAAGACATGTAGTCAGTTCAGTTATTCCAATAAAGGACAACATTGGCAGAGATAATCAAATAGGACCGTAATACAGTCCAATCACAAGATAGACAATGGGGAAACGGAGCTGGGCCAGAGGACTGACCCCGGTTGTTGAGGTTTGTGGATAATTAAGACCGAGGGGATATCACCACCCTGAAAACTATAAAATTAAACCAAAGTTAGATGAGTAGATCAAAGATCAGTGATTCTGTCCTCGGCTAAGCAAAATAGCACCCAAGCCTATAATATATATCTGATTAGTGAAAATTAACTAAAGACATGACAGAAGAGACATAACTATATATGGTTATCTTGTGGCAGTTGTGTGTGGAGCTGGCTTCTCCCCTTAGTTGCGCTCTTCTCCTTGGTGCTTTGTAAACATTCAGGATCTTAGTTAAATAGTTTAGGCCCCCAGAAACTAAACAAAAAGGATGGAACACCTGGCTTTGAAGCTTCCAAATGCAGATTGATATAGACATTTAATATGACAATTTTAAATTTAATGGGAAAGAATAAATGAGTAGGAAAGCAAATTACTCAGTCACTTGAATTTCTTTCAAGAGTTTATGTTAGACAAAGGCAGAGTGGAAATCCTAGGTCATAAAGATATGACGCTTTTGGGGTTAGTAAGAGATCACGGCAGTGCTAAAGCTGATTAATTCACTCAATCCCTCCCATATGTCTCTATTTATCCATATGTATGTCTACATTGACATCTACAGATGCTCCCCAGCTTACAATGGGTTTACATCCCAATAGACCTATCATAAGTCAAACATATCGTAAGTTAAAAAATGCATTTACTATCCCAATAAAACGACTGTAAAGTTAAAAAATCATAAGTTGAACTATCCTAAGTCAGGGACTGTGTATATCTACCTCTGTATCTGTATATAAACAGATACAGAGTGTTGATTTTGTGGAAAAGATTTTGTCTCATTGGCTGCTTGGCACCATATCGATAAAACAATCGATTAATGGAATATTTCACTGTTCAGCCGGTGGTTGAAGACACAGGAGAGACTCAGAGAAACACAAATACAGTCAGACAGACAGACAGAATTGCCTATTTATCTTTCTCAAACAGCCCAAAATGTCTTGATAAACCTAGCAGCTCCATTCAGTTTGGGATTAAAACAGCTGGAGCAAGAAAAGTGTTATGTTGAAGAAATCCTGCAAATATCGTCCAGAGTGACCATAGAAAGCAAAAGTAGACCTCAGAAACCACGGCCACAAGGCCCCCAGGAAGAAGCATCACTGGCACAGATAGGATGCAGAAGCGCTCCAGCGGGATCTCAGTCTCCTGCTAAGATTGCCACACAGCCTGGCTTCTTCTGGCCATACTCAGGTCCTTGCCCACACAAAAGTGAAAGTATTGTGATACCAACTGTATTTAATGAAGAATCATAAAGATTTGAATAAAACTGGAGATGAAATGGATAGTTTGCTTTTCAATCTTGAAAGACTACATCACTTAGAAAACATGATTACCTCCAAGTTAATATTTAGAACCAAGATATGGCATTGACTTTGAGATGTGAAAAAGAAGAGGGGGCTTTGCTTTACATTTTGAGAAATCTCCTTGTGAGACATGGGTTGTCCTCAGATCACACTAGGGAACTGTGAAGGAACTGAGAGAGAGAACCAAGTAACCCACGGCCCCTGCTATAGACTTACCACTCATTTCCACAGGCAGGTAGCATTTTCAATATTGGCAGCTTGGCCACTGTTCTCCTGATGTGGTCTACTTTTCTGGAGATTGTATCTATTGTTTCAAGCCACTTCAGGATCACATTAAGCTAACATCTAGTTTTCATTTCCAACAAAGCCAGTCTTACAGGTAAACCTAATGCAAGGTACAATGTTACCATCTGGGAGTAGTCTTCTCATTTCTGAATGATGCCTGAGATTCTACCATCAGAGCACTATCTTTTTTATACAGGGCTTGGTCTCTAGTAAAATTCAAATATTCCTGGAAAGGGTCTCTTTTTAAATGTTGTGTTTTTAAAAAGTGAATCTAATGATGTGTTCCAGCACTTAAAATTCTTCAGTTGCTCCCAATCCTCCATAAACTCTAAAATCTTACGCAAGATATATGAGGCTCTTTATGTTCAGGACCCATGCCTGCATCTTTACGCTTATTCAACAGACTTTACTTCTGTCTAATACCTCACTCTCCAGTCATTTTGCACTGTCAGAGTTTTCCTCAGCACACCATGCCATTCCAGTCCTCTTGTTTCCTCACTTCTGGTCTCTGCCTGGAATTCTCTCGTTCTTCCTTGCCTATCCTGCAAACCCTTGACTCAATAGTTGCCTCGTGCTCTCATCTTTGTAAACTTTTCTCTGATTCATTTAGGAATATTTATGAACTCTTTTCTCTACTTTTGTCCTTTGTGTGTTACCTTCCCAATTTTTGTCCATGTCATATACCGCATATGCTATTATACTCATTATTTTTCCTATGATGATTCACTGTTCATCAAAATAAATTCCATGAAAACAAAATAATGTTGTTCATTGAACAATTAATTTCAAACATGAATATAAATGAAATGTAAGTTATAATCAAATTGATCTGCAAAAATATGTACCAAAATTAAGTTAATCATCGAGTAAACTTGTTTCTCTTTGGCAGCAATAAAGGATATTTGATTTCATATGACTAGTTGAAGGTGAAAATGAGATTCTTAGTGAGTAAGATAACTCTAGGCTTTACTTTTATGTTAAGCACATTTCAACTCCCATGTATATAATTAGAAAGAAGAAAAATGTTTAATTACTACTAATTGTGTGGATGGGGGTTCTTAGTTGCAAACAACAGAATTCAATGCGGCTACCTCAAGCAGCCAAGAAATCTATTTGAGGGTTTTGAGTAACTCACAAAGTTCATTAGGATAAGAAAGCCAGATTTTGAGGCTGCACAGTTGTAATGCCCAATTACACTAAGGTATCCCTTGAGAAACATGAGCACTGCTGATGGGCAACCATGACTGTTAGCACTGAACACTATTGTTCCAGAAAGAACAACATTTTTTGCCCTCGTGCTTGACAGAAGGTCCATACGCCTGCCCAGCCACTTCTTCATGATGGTTACTTCTGAATCAAGCCTCTCATGGGTGTTATAGTTGGCTGAAGCCAAGTCAATCAGGTACACCCTAGTTGCAAGGCATTCTAGCAATATGAATTCTTCATAGATTTTACCTATGTAGGAAATTTAAAATGTTAGAATGGTACACAAAAATGTTGGCAGCCATAAATTTTGAATGTTTTATACACTGGTCAAATATTTCCAGGAGACTTTTGTTTCAAGAAGCTATTCAAAGTGATCTTCAGTGTCTATTTTTGTATGGAAGGTATCAAATTACTTGGTCATGACTGTGAACTGCTGGGGAACGTGTTGTTTATCTTTCTCTCATTGGACTAGGAAAATACTTATGAAGGTCTTTCCTCAGGTCTTTCAAGGGTTTCTTAACAAGGTTGAACACATTTTCAGCAAATCTGACAGATGAGTACATAACCAGCTGGTTCAGACCATGGAAAGAATCCAACTCACCTCCCTGGGGGTGTATACCCTACAGCTCCAGGTTAGAATTTCCATGTTTGCTTTGACTTACAGGTGGAGTACTGAAGTGAGACTGCCTTGTAAGAATAGGCAAAAGATGCTAATTTGCAAAGTCATTTTCAGTCATGCATACAAGCCACAGATTGAAGCTTTCATTCAAAAACACTTGAAGTTTTCACTGACTCAGTAAGGTGAGTGGGAAATTTTCTTTGTCAATGAGCATCAATATGAGACAATATGTTTTCTCAGACCTTGCTCATCTCCTTGCCTAACTGAGAAAAAAATTCTAGAGGTCTGTACGTTGCCCTTAACTGATTAACAATTTTAACACATTTGTTAAGTGTTCCTCTTAAAATTTCATGACTATCCCAAGTGACCAAGGTTTCCCTATGTATTCAAAACAGAACAGATTTTGCTTCTGGGACACATCGTTAATACCTGGAACAAGTCCTTGGTTTGAACCAAACTGGCACCCCTCATGTTTCTCATCTGTTTTATTTATCCTATCTATGTTAATTGTTTTGTCCATTTAGTTTTCACTAAATTATTAATATCATCTAGTTTCAATTTCTCCTAATTTTAACTTCTTATATAACCATAGTACACTTGTCAAAACTAAGTTGTTCCATTGCCATGAGTTAAACTCTCAGCTTTATTTGGATTTCACCAGTTTTGGGATGCCACGTTGCAGTTAGGCATCATGTTTTCTCTGGCCTGTGAGTTTCTTAGCCATCCTTTGTTTTCACGATATTGACTTGTCATGTATATTTGTAGAATGTGCACCAATTTGGGTTTGTTCGATGTTTTTCTCATGATTCAATCAGATCTGTGAGTTTTTGGAAAGAATATCACAGGCTGGGCGCGGTGGCTCATTCCTGTAATCCCAGCACTTTGGGAGGCCAAGGTGGGCAGATCACGAAGTCAAAAGATTGAGACCATCCTGGCCAAAATGGTGAAACCCCGTCTCTACTAAAAATACAAAAATTACCTGGGCATGGTGGCGTGTGCCTGTAGTCCCAGCTACTCGGGAGGCCGAGGCAGGAGAATTGCTTGAACCTGGGAAGCAGAGGTCACAGGTCACAAAAGACTCCATCTCACAAAAAAAAAAAAAAAAAAAAAAAAAAGGAAAGAATATCACAGAGTGAAGTGGCTTTTAAGATCAGGAAGTACATGATATCAACATGTCTTATCACTGGTGAAGTTAAACTTGATCAATTGGGTAAGGTAGTATTTGCCAGGTTTCTGTATTGAAAAGTTACTATCTTCCCATTTCCCAATATCTATTCTTTGAAAGCAAGTTACTAAAACTAGCCTACTACTTTTAGAAGGGGGTGTATCAGCATATATTATTTGGCAATTTCTATAGAGATGATTTGTCTCTTTTCCCCTATTTATTTATTTATTAGATCATTATTTATATCAATATGACATTATGTATATTTATTTTATGCTTTGGATTGTAATCCAATACAATATTATTTCTTTTGTTACTCAAATTGTTCCAGCTTTGGCAATTAGGAGCTCTTTCCGGTTGGCTCCTATGACATACTCCACCATTTTTTTGGTAGCACTTCCTTATTTTTGGCACTAGATCATGCTCTAAGCTCATCTTGTATTTTCCTTGACCCAGCTCTAGAATCAGCTATTTCACCAAGGAGCCCTGGTTCCTTTTATTGGAGACTGGTGTGAGTACTTAGAAATTCAAATATGAGTGTTGGGTGCATTAACATATTTTGAAAACACATGAACAAAATTATGCAAAAAAGTCTTCTTAGATTTGTATTATTATCAGACAAACACCAAAAGATTAACCAAGTTCAAAGCAATTTTGAATCCTCAGTTTGCAATGAATAGTATCCTCTTGGTTGTACTTGGGATAATAATCGCTACTTTATGTTTTCTATGATGAATTGTTTTATTTCTTCAAGTCCAAGGGTTAATGGGAAGGAAGGGAAAAGAATGTGAGACCTCTGGGTCTCAGGGGGAAGGGAAGTGGAGTAAGCAAGGCCCACGGAGGAAAGGTATACTCTGTGGGGAGAGCGGGGTTGCCACCTGCAGCCTTCATGCATATTTCATTTCTTTCGTAAGGGTGGCTCTTATCACTGCTGTGGGAATATTTGCAGGCAATTCTAGTTTTGTCCATGTCAACGAATCAATTCAAGTTTTGGTTTTTAGTCTGCATTAAATCATCAGTCATTTTTCATTAGGATCAGATGGTTAAGACAAAGAATTACTTTACTATTAAAGAGCAAATTATTCTTATTTTAGCTCTGCCATGGGTGTCTTCTTTGTCTTGAACAAGTCTTTCAATCATCCAGCATTCCCACTGCCATAATAACATAATGCATTTATTGGCCTGTGACTTGCATAGTATCTAAGAGGACAGACAAAGCAGGCACTGCAACTTCCAAGGTGTGCGATCTTGGGCAAGTTCCTTTCCTTTACCTATAAAAAGATAATGATAGTAATAAATAACACCTAGCTCGTAGAATTGTTGTAGGGATTAAATTACAGGATGTTTATAAACACTTAATATAATAACTGTCATATAATAACTACTTAATAAAAGCTGCTGTCATAGCTGTTATTATTCGCTAAATGTTTTCGTTTCCTATTTTAGGGAGCTGTGTTATATAATAGAGTGTGTTAAGTATTTGATCTTCTCCCATTTAATTCCTGCTCTTTGCTGCTTCTTAAGGAGAGGTTGGGCTGTGCTTACTCCTTCCTGGGCTAATGATATAGATGCTCAGGGCTTCCTGGGGGACTCTTGGTGGCCTCTGTCTGTGCTTGCTGACAACAGCCAAAAGACAAGTGTGTTGACTCTCCAATAAATCAAACCTCAACCTGAATTTTATGCAGAGAATGTCAGCTGACCCTTCATGGTAAGTCACCTTACATCCTTCAAAATATCACGTGACTCTTTAAAAATGCAGCCCACCCTCTTATAACAGTGATTGTCCAGGGACCCGTGATACGTGAGGGTTTTCTAGCTGATCATTTTGAGCTGCGGAAGTTCTCATGCTTGCGATAGGAGAGGCTATCTGGTTTTTCTTCTGTTGCATGAATAATAACTCTCTATGATAATAAAGAAAAAGAAGTATCTGTTGCTTTTTTCCCATTCTATCTTGAAAGTTTATGGGTTATTTTTGTCTATATATGTGTTTTGTTTGTGAATATGCATGCATGTGTGTGTGTGTGAGTGTGTATTTCAACATTTTATGGTCCACTGTTAAAACCTTCCCCCCCTTTTTTTTTGCCTTAAGGACATTGGCTAATATTGCAGCCCCCAAGTAGTATGGGTTTGAGGATAGAGATCTGCAATGTTCCCAGGTAGGTCTGCTGTTAACACAGGTTAAATATGTCTTGAATCCTGAGAGCAAACTAATTCACAGAATAGCTACACAATCCACATTCCATCTGACTGTGTTTTATTTAAAATGTTGCATTCAAAGAAACAACTACTCTCTGGCCGAGGCAATGTCAAATAAATGATATGCTTAGACTTGCCACTTGTGGACAGACCATTTTGGTATTGTGCAAGCTTGACCATATAGAGAGGAAACAAGCACTTTAAATGCATCCTTCACCTCTAGGAGGGAACTAGTAAATGTCCTTTCTGAAAATAAAGAAGAAATACTATTCTATCTCCCAGGTTTTCTCTTTAATTTAGACTTACGTCAGATTCCAGGAGGAAATTGCTGGTTGTCTTCTAGGTTTCTCATGAAAAGAAATGTTTCCAAAGTCCACTTCTGAACTGTCTTTATGCAGGGAAAACTAATCTATGATGTTAGAGGACAGGGCACTGGTTAACCTTTGGGAGCATTGACTAGAACAGGGCAGCAGGGGACTTCTGTGGTACTGAAATGATTTGCTTCTAGATATGGGTGCTGGCTACACAGGAGTGTCCATTTTATGAAAATGTATCCAGTTGTGCTCTAATGGTTTGTGTACTTCACTATAAGTGTGTCATGCTTTATCAGAAAGTTTTCTTTTGTGGTATATCCAGACAATGAATTCAGCACTAAGAAAAATGAATTTTTCGTTTTTCTCTATAGTAAAACGATCAGCAGTTGCCAGGGATTAGTGAGGAGGAAGGGATGAATGAGCAGAGCACAAAGGACTTTTCGGGCAGTGAAGAGACTCTGTACGATACCATAATGGTGGATACATGTCATTATACATTTGTCTAGACCCACAGATGTAGAGCACCATCTGTATTAGTCAGTTTGCATTGCTATAATGGAATATCTGAGACTGGGTAATTTATAAAGAAAAGAGGAATATTTTGGCTCCCGGTTCTGCAGGCTGTACAGGACACATGATGCTGGCATTTGCTCCTGGGGGAGCCTCAGGAAGCTTCCAATCATGGCAGAAGGTGAGTGGAGCCAGCATATCACATGGCAAGCGCAGGGGCAGGAAAGCTGTTTTAAATAACCAGATCTTGCACGAACTCATAGAATGAGAACTCACTCATTACCATGAGGACAGCACCAAGCAATTCATGAGGGATCCACTCCCATGATTGAAACACCTCCCACTAGGCCCACCTCCAACACTGGTGGCCACATTTCATCGTGAGATTTGGAGGGAACAGAATATCCAAACCATATAAATGGTGGGTACTTGTCATTATACATTTGTCTGAACCCACAGAATGTACAGCACCAAGAGCAAACCCTAATGTAAACTATGGCATCTGGCTGATAAGCATGTGTCAATGTAGATTCATATATGTACCATTTTGGTGGTATATTGATAGTGGTGGAGGCTGGGCATGTGGGGGCAGAGAGTATATAGGAAATCTCTATACTGTCTACTCAAGTTTGTTGTTAAATTTAAACCACTCTAAAATATAAAATATATGCATATGTGTATTTTTTAATCACACACACACTTTTAAATTTTTTAATTCTTTATATTAAAAAATAAAATAGATATGCATCTATATATATTTTTTAATCACACACATACTTTTAAACAGGAACCTTTCTTTTTTACTTTAAATCGAATTGCCTACTTCTCATTTGAAGGGTGAAGGCTGATGGGAAGGGAAGATAGCAGAGGGCTCTTATAGCCAATCCTTTCCTCTTTGGGGAGGGCTGACCTATTAAAGGGGAACAGATGTCTTCTAAAATAAGAATGATTTTACTATGGAATTATTTACTAATAATCATTATTCAGAGCAGCAAACAAAAGATTAAGTTAAGCTGATACATCACCGTATGAATTATTGGTTGTAGAAGCCCCCAGACTTCTGCTTGGTTTATAATTATATAACATGGTTTAAAATTACCTGTAAGAGAAAATGGACAGGAAAATTACCACATAGCCACATAATATTGAGTTCTTATGAGTAGTAAATGCCTAGAAACTGTAAGGTTGTTTTTATCAGCTGAGCATATGGGGACAATGTAGTGGATGAATTTCACTGTGGGTAAATCTTGATGGACTATGAACCATTGGCTCTTCATTTATATGTAAAACTACCCAGTGTGTTCCAGTCATCGTACAAGGTACTGAGGTCCCTGCCCCCCAGATCTCACAGTCCAGCGGGGAAGATCAGCAGGAAAGCACATGCTATGACAGTGTGTCAGGGAGCTCAAGGGGGCCCCAACACCCCAAGGGGGCCCTAAGCTGAAAGAGAGGTCTCAAGAGGCCTCTTGGGGGTGATGGCACCTAAGATAGGCCTTGGCACAAGAGATGGATCTGAGGGTAACTGTAGATTATTCCTTCAAAACAGCAGATCAAGGCTGAGGTGAGAGGATTGCTTGAGCGCAGGAGTTTAAGGCTGCAGTGAGCTGTGATCCGGCTGCCGGAGCAACAGAGCTAGACCCTGTCTCAAAAACAAAAAATGAAAAACAAAACAAACAAACAAACAAAAAAATCCCACAGATCAGACAGCTTCCTATGCATACATTTTGGAGCACATAAAGAAGATGGTTGAGGAGAAAGTAGAAATGTCCTCAAAACCATTAGGTATTTCTATGTGTCCTGTGTATAGTTCTGCACAGTTCAAGAAAAATATAGCAAACTTGGAGAACAGAGAAGAATAATTCAAGCAATAACATATCAACTTCCATTTGCACACACTGCCTATTACAACGTAAAAGCCAGTCTTACAGACTGCCATCTGTTGATAGCTGACCCCTCCTCACCATTCCTCCCTCCACCACCCTCTACTCCACTCCAGTCACCAGCAACAGCTCCTTCAATAACTGATGGATAAAGACCTGCTAACTGCAACTTTGTTTAAGCAACATTCTAGAAGAAGACACCCACACATCAGGGTCCCAGTAGCAAGACTAAAGTTGATCTATGTGGCAAATAAAGGCTGAAATCTGAATTTTCAGGATTGAGAATGTATGTCTCTATGAATAGAGCTTATGTCTGATAGTGTTGTGGTAAAGAAAAAGTGGGACTCTTCTTAATCTGAAACAATGAAAGTTGAAAGGAGGGTATCTGGTGAAATTGTATAAAATCATGCGAAACAGAGTTGGCCTGTCTTTCCATGTTGCACAACAGCAGGGGGCACCATGCATCATTGACATTGTGATCAGCACCCCCTGGAGTTCTGCAGTGTGGCAGCCCTGGAGCAAATCTCACAATCCCAGAACTATGGGACAACGGAGGAAGCTGGGAAGATATACATTTAAGATAAATAAAATAATTTCTACCTAATATGACTGATGAGAACATTTTAGACTTTAATTTCTGAAAAAAAATATGCAGGCTAAATATATAAATGGCAACAAAATGAATAATGATAGTATTGGATTATAGCCCAAAGAATAAAATCAGTATCCACAAGTCCACACTGTTGACAATAAATGATTGAACAGATAAATAACTAGGGAAGAAGAGACTAATCTTTTTTGCAGAAGAATTCCAAATACTGTAGGTTGATACTTTCTCCTCCAGTGAGGGTTACATAATTCCTCTCCCCCTGGAGAAGTATGGGATGGATTTGCTTCCAAAAAATAGAGCATGAGAAACAAAAAGATAGCAACTTTATAGTGGAGAAACTTGGCAGGCACAATCTTTAATAAATGATCAAGATTTATATCACCAGCAATAAGTCATGTTAATATCATGTCCCCTCTTATATGATGTAATGAGAAGGACATCTCACTCTACGATACTCTTTCTAAGACTCACAATCCTAGTCTACAAATGAGTGAAAATGAATAGAAAATTAACTGAGCAATTAACTGTTGAGAAAAATATCAGACAAACCCAAATTGAGGGTCATTCTGCAAAATACCTGACCAGTACTCTTCAAAACTGCCAAGGTCATGAAAAACAAAGCAAGTCTGAGGCAGTCACAGACCAGAGGAGACTAAGATGACATGGCAACTAAATGCAATGTGGTATCCCCAAAAGGGATCCTAGAACAGAAAAAGGACATTGCTACAAAAATTGGGGAAATCCAAATAAAGTCTGGCATTTGGTTAATAATTTTTTAGTAATGTTAATTTCATGGTTTTAAAAAATGTACTATGGTGGCTGGGCACGGTGGCTCACTCCTGTAATCCCAACACTTTGGGAGGCCGAGGCGGGCGGATCACCTGGGGTCAGGAGTTCGAGACCAGCCTGGCCAACATGGTGAAACCCCATCTTTACAAAAAATACAAAAATTAGCCGGGTGTTGAAGCGGGCAGCTGTAATCCCAGTTACTTGGGAGGCTGAGGCAAGAGAATTGCTTGAACCCAGGAGGTGGAGATTGCAGTGAGCCAAGATTGCACCATTGCACTCCAGCCTAGGCGACCAGAGCAAAACTCTGTCTCAAAACAAAACAAACAAAAAAAATTACTATGGTAACATAAGATGTTAAAATTAAGGGCATATGAGTGATGGTTATATGGGAACACTTTACTATCTTACAACTTTTCTGTTAATCTAAAATTATGCCAAAATAAAAAGTGTATTATATTTAGTTAGGTCAGTAAATGATAGATCCATAATGTAACATCATGAGAAGGCAGAGATATTTGATGCAAATCTTTTACCTTTGGGTTATTCTTCTAGGGTTAAAACTCAGCCCAGTCTGCCACTTATCAATTGTATGATCTTGCACAATTTATACTCTTTCTCTGATTTCAGTTTCCATGTCTTTAAAAACTTGGATACCACTATCTGCTTTACAAAATTATTAAGTGAATTAAATGAGATAAGGTATTTAAAATGCTTAGCACAGTGTTTGACACACAGTAGACACTTATCAGGCAATGCTTTCCTTCTTTTCTCATAATACCTATCTTAGATTATCACCATCAGACAGGGTGTTAGGTTTTTGTATCATGAAATTAACCCCAAAAAGAAGATTTTTGTAGAAGAATTTTTATTGACATAATAGTTGTACACACTTTAAGGGTACAAGTGATATTTTGATACCTGTAAACAATGTGTAATAATCAAATCAGAAGGATATTTTAACTATGAGAAGGAAAGTTGGCCAGGTGTGGTGGCTCACGCCTGTAATCCCAGCACTTTGGGGGGCCAAGGAGGGCGGATCACCTGAGTTCAGGAGTTCAAGACCAGCCTGACCAACATGGCGAAACCCTGTCTGTACTAAAAAATAAAAAAATTACCTGGAGTGGTGGTGGGCGCCTGTAATCCCAGCTACTCAGGAGGCTGACGCAGGGGGAATCACTTGAACCTGAGAGGCGGAGGTTGCAGTGAGCTGAGATCGTACCACTGCACTGTAGCCTGGGTGGCAGAGGGAGACTCCGTCTCAAAAAAAAAAAAAAAAAAGAAGGAAAGTCAACACAAAGAAGTTTAGTCCTGTAAGAAGCTGCTTTAGTGTGATAGAATTTCCTTTAAAAATGAGTGGAAATGAATAGAAAACCAACTGAGCAATTAACTGTGGAGAGCATGTAGGTGAAAATAGAATTAGTTAAAGAAGGCTTTGTGGAGTAAGTGAGATTGGGATAGAAAAATGAGGAATGTGTTGGTGTAGGTTTGGGGGAGAATCACATTGGAGGACGGAGAGGTGAGTTCCTTCTGGCGCAAGAGTTCAGGTGTTTGGGCCAATGACCCATGGGCAGAATTGCATAAAGTTCAATGTAGCCTTAGTTTCCTTTTTTTCTTTCAGAAGGGCTCTCCTTATTCATTCTTGTTTGGCCCTTCTCTCTCCCCTTAGCTCCCCGATTCCTCACACCACTTCCCAGCTGTTAAGGACCACACCTTGTGCCATAATATCTAGGCCTGCTCTCAAAAGCCACTGTGCACTCAAAGCTTCCCAGATCTATGGCCATTTATCACAAGCTTTCAGCCAGGTGCCCCATTCCCACAGGTCTTTTCTAGACTTTAGAAATGACCTTTCATTGCAAATGTCTGAAAGTGGTTTATGAGGCTTTTTTTTTTTTTTTTTGAGAAGTAGTTTCTAGTTTTGCTCTTGCCCCCCAGACTGGAGTGCAATGGCACGATCTGGGCTCACTGCCTCCCGGATTCAAGCAATTCTCCTGCCTCAGCCTCCCGAGTAGATGGATTACAGGCACGTGCCACCATGCCTGGCTAATTTTTGTATTGTTAGTAGAGACGGGGTTTCACTATGTTAGCCAGGCTGGTCTCGAACTCCTGACCTCAAGTGATCCGCCCACCTCAGCCTCCCAACGTGCTAGGATTACAAGCATGAGCCACTACACCCGGCAGAAGCTTTCCTATTGCGAGAACTTTGATATGTTAAGCTCTTTTATGTCAATGCATGATTGAAGTAGAAATTTTAGTCACTGTGGTACAGTCAAAAGAAAAAAAAATTGGGGTCAGGGTCAAAATTTGTATATATATAGCTTGGAGCTTGGCTGAAGTCTGGGTCAGAGCGTGAGAAAGAAATAAATATGGTAGATGAGGCAGGAGAAGCCAGGAAGTGAAGAAGATGGGAAGGGTAGAATGTTGCTGGAAACAAACAAACAAAAGAACTAGTGAGTGTAGTTCACCTCAACTAGGCTGAGCTTTCTCAACCTCAGCGCTATTGACATTTTGGGCTGGATAATGCTTCGTTGCGGAAAGCTGTCCCGTGCATTGTAGGGGGTTTCTCGGTTATCTCTGACCTCCACCCTCTAGACGCTAGTAGCACCCCCTGGTTGTGACGACTAAAAATGTGTCCAGATATTACCAAATGTCCCTAGGGGGCACAACTACGCTTGATTTAGAACCACTGGGTTAGAGTGTCAGGCTGTTGTCATTGCAGATGCTTGTCTGTTTGTTCTATAGGTAACCTGGATTTAATTTCTGACAGAATATCCTGCTCAGGGCAAGTGTGTCTCTAAGACCATACAGTCGTGGTTGGTTGATCAGATTTCTGTTTTTCCAGGTAGGTTTCATAGACAAAGAGCAGTGCAGTCTTTTATCTGGAGTCTGTAACTTTTCTGCAATAATGAGAAGTAGTCACAGTGCCTCCCCTTATTTTTTTTCAGTAGGAGGAATAACTTTGTGGGTCAAGGTGAGCTTTATGTGGAACAGGAGACACGTTCTGGCAAAGCAGATTTTCATGTACAGTGTGGGGAGTTTCCTGGGGGCTGTTCTATAGGTCTTCAAGGAGGGCTTTGAAGGAACACATTCCCTTTGCAAGTAATAAGCAGGTCTACTATTGCATGATTGATACATGTTGGGGAAAGCATCACCCTTTCTTAGTGGGGTCATGATGCTCTCATGAATGACAAACTCCCTTCTGCCAGGGGAACAGGACAGAATGTAGGAAGGGGAGGCATGGCCACAGTGTCCTCTGTGGGCTTTCCCTTGTAGGGCGTCGTCTCTTGTCTTCCTCCACTCCCATCAATATTCAGGAAACTTGTATTTGAAGTGGAGTAGGAAAAAGTAGTATGACATTTTGAGATTGTCACTTTATTCTAACACTTAGCAGGTGACAGCTGTGGTGACACTTCTTCCCCACCCAAGCCCCTATTAACCCCTGTCCACCTTTTATTCTTTTCCTCTTCCTCCTCCATCCCTTTTCTTTAATATATTATTAGGTCATTTATTTAAGAATAGTTATTGAGTGTCCATTGTGTCCAGAGCCTGTCAGACAAAGGACCAGCTAGTATCTAGAGACTTTGTGCTGCCCTCAGGCCACCAGATGGGACAGGCTACCTGGGCAGGTGGCAGCAATAGGAATAGGAAGTGTCTGGGAGAGGCGAGCAGGATGTGCAGAAGAGGCTGGCGACTGGACATGGCAGAAGTTCCAGTTTTCCAAGTCTGAACTGGGGGTCAGGAATCTAGTCTTCTGCTGGGAAAAGAACCAGAGACGAACACTGGACTAAATGGGGCCAGTCTTCAGTAGGTGAAACCCCAGCTCCTTGCTGAAGGTGGGGACACTCTGACAAGACAGAAACACCCCAGCTGTCCTCGCCACAGCTCACCGTCCATCAAGGTGATTGGTACGGAGCTATTTTAGCTCCTGACATTCCAGTGGTCCAGGAAGAGGACTGGCCTCAAGCCTTCAGGAGTTCAACATTCAAGTATATCCTCATCCTAAAGGTGGAAAAGGATAGGGGTTTCGCACAAAATCGGAAACAGGAGAATGCTGATGGCCTGTGATCCTCAGAACTCTGTAATTCACTTGCGTCACTACAAAAAAGGGCTTGGATTATCCAGAGAGTGTGTGTGTGTGCATGCGCGCATGTGTGTGTTCATGCGTCTGTGTGTGTGTGTGTGTGGAGGACTGGGTTGATTTCTCTTCTGATATCACATAAAGTCTCACAACATACCCTTTCTCTGTAACAAGTTTTATTAACCTGGGGTCCATGGCTGGAAGTCTGTGAATCTCTGAAATTATAAGCACTAGTGAATTTTTTTCTAAGCAAAGAGGTCCTCAGCATTCTTCAGATCCCCAAGCAACCTATGACTGATGCAGCTTGAGAACATCCCCACCAGGAAAAACGGGCCCCTGGGAGCCAGATGTACGATAGAAAGAGCCTCTCTGTTCATGCTACCCCCTGCTTTTCATTAGTTGCCTCTCTTTATTAAAGCTCCCCTCCTCCCTTACAGTGGGTATTCCCTCAGAAATCTATTTTTGAACACAGAGGAGGATAAATCAGTAATATAGGGTCTGATCTGATGAAACAACTTTGAACACTAGCATACCATACCAATGATTTTCATTTACATTATCTTAATTCTCACAGCCAGGTGAAGAGGGAGGTGTCAGTCCTCTCTTCTTACTTACAAAACAACAACAACAACAAAAACAGAAAAAACAACCCAAAACCCCTGAGGCTCAGAGAGGTAAAGTGACTTGCCCAAAGACACACAGCAAGTAAATATTGCAGCTGGTATACGAAACCTATTTCCCTGATACTGGAAACAGCAAGCACTCTTTCCACTATCCTGTAATTCTGTCAGGCTGCAGCATGAAGACAAAGATCACACTGATCAGAGATTTACCCAGGATGCTATAAATACCATTGCTAATTACTCATAACCACAAAAGTCACCACGTCTTGCCTTGTTGTTCCTTTAACCAATACACAAAGAGCCATTCTCAGCAATGTCAAAAGGTAGAGGAGACTGGATTTCTTGATCTTTGTTTCTCTCGAGGCCTTTAAACAAATGACAACGATGGAGAACAGTTATTAAAAATAAAAATCCAGTGTACAAAAATCTATCTTGATTATCTTGGAGTCTGACTGTCTTGCCTCTCTCTGGTTGAGCAGGGATCTGAATCCTATATGAAGGGTGGGTCTACCCGGCTGAGAATTGAGAGCATGATCTGATGATTCCAGGTGAAAAAACACTGTTGTTTCCATCACCTGGAGACTTCAGCCATCATGTTTTGCTTAAGGGAAAATTTCTTTGGTCTGACTTATCCGAATAGTCTCTTGGCTCTTAGCTTTGTTTTGCTTGGTGTCACTCTGGTCATAAAGGAGCTGATATTTCTGCAGCAAAAGCATTTCTGAATTTTATGAAAATGGTGCTATAGAAACAGTTTCATCAGGGCAAAGGCTTCTGTTCAATAGGCTCCTCCAACACACATGCACACACACACACGATCAGGGATTTTTTTTTTTCTGTGTGCAGAGAGTGCCTTTATCTCTAGCCTTCTTCGCTTTCTTCACCTTACATTGGAATGCTGCATAATATAAACATAGATCATGTTTATGATCAGCTAATTTTGCTCCTGTTCTGTGATCTCCCCTTCTCTCTTTTTCTCTCTCCCACCCATCATTTCTTTTTGCTGTGCAGCGCTTCTAAAAGCCCCAACAAATATCTGAAGAGCTGTGATACCTCCAGCAAGTCCTCGTTCTGTTACGAGCTCGCAAAACACACAATGCCGGCGCTGCTCAGTAATCTCCTTGTCAAGGCTGCCTCTCTACCTTCCCATCCTCATTCCAGGAGCCTATTAAATTAATGAGATAGAAGTCAGTGCTACAGCGGTCGACATGTTATTGGTGTACAGCGCCGATGCTGTTACAGTGTGCCTGTTTTCTCTCCTGGGACATTTAATTTCCGCTTCTCAAATGAGCTGCGAAGCTGTGAGGCCTGGCAGTGTTCGTTCTCGGCACTCTGTGATGCAGATAATGAGGGTACTGATAGGTGCCTAGGAGACTTCGGTGGCTCCAAGCTCAGCCATGGTCTGATAATGCTTTATGCCAGCAGTGTCAGAGCGGAGCCACTATCATCCCTCAAGGAATGGTTCATCTTTATGTGTAATACAGCAGCTGTCACCTAAATGGCTAATGGGGAAGCAAAGTAGAACCTTAGTGCTAGTAATCTTTGTCACTTAATAATTTTAAAGGTATCAGACTTCAGTGGCTCCTGCAAGTTCTAATAAAAGCGCACTTGCCGATTTTAGGTTGTTTGTGGCGGATTAAATTTAAATTGAGAAATCCATGGTGTTGTTCTGTGCAAATCTAATTTAGTATAACTTGAATAACCAAGTAATTAAAATGTATTATAGGTATAAGATGCTGGGATGGTGGAGTGCCTACATTTAAGAGGAAGATTTATTGGGCTCGCAGCATCCACAGTGAACCTTCTACAACCACATTAGCTAACATCTGTTAGAAAATGTCGAGATCTGGGGCAGAAGACATGCATGCAGAATATATGCTTTTGTGCATTGGAACGACAAATTGGAAATACGGGGCAGCACTTGGAAGTTAAATTAATTAGTAATGAGACCTGCATCCATGGGCACACACATGCATGCGTGAGGGGTATATGGGTATACAAAGGGGCATGTGTGTGTGCACATAGGTACATGCAAACACACATTCATTCTAATTAACACCCAGCCCCTGCAGAATGGGAATTGAAGTTTGATTGGATTTAAGGAGCAGGGCAATAATAATAGGACAGTTAATACAAACGATGTCTGTGTTGACACTCCACCATTAGTGTTTCCTGGCAGATTATTTTGTTTGCTTTGCCTAAGTGCACAAGATTATAGGAGGTGATTTAGTAGGCTAGGGCACTGGATTCTGAAGGGAAGCCAAGCAAATTTCAATCACACCTACAATCAGACTCTTAATCTTTGGGGAGTTACTGCACCTGTGCTGGCAAAGGTTAAGAGACAACAGATTCTAGAAGGCACAGATAAAGTAATTGTCCAAGGGAAGAGGTATAGATGGAAGGGACTCATGATTCTCTTAGAGGATAAATCAGAGGACATTTGGAAATCTGAAAGAAATATGCTTGTGGATAAGTGCAAGATATACTGCCCAGACAAACATGAAACATGTTCCAAGAAAATATTGGTCAGGAGACAGTCAAGAGTGCTGGCTACCAGGTGGGTACATGGGAAATATGTTTAAATAGCAATGCGTATTACAGTTTTCTTTCTTCATCATTGAATAGCTTGCGACTATTTTCAAATGTAAGTCCTGTTAAGAGAAAAATACTATTATCATGGAGGAACTGAGGTTTTGGATGCTATTTGACATTTTCACCTCGTCTCTGCCTTCTGAATTGTTTTACTATCCTTTTCCTAAATCTTTGGTCAAATATGAGCATAGTTAATGAGAAATTTTAATGATGTAATCAACTTCCCTCAAAAGACTAATCCTACCCTGGTGAACTTACTTACTAGGGAATTCACTTATTGGAGGCTATTATGTATTGTGGGTCCACAGGTATAAATGTTTAGTTCAGGACCCTTAAGCCTCTATCTTATTCACAGCACATCTCAGAAGATGCAACGATAGCTGAGTGTTTTGAATAAATATGTAGATTTTAAATAAGGTTTTAAAAAGCACCCTCTGGTTTGTGATGTCTGAGCCAAATACAGGTATTGACATAAGTGTTGGAAACATTTACTAACACCTGCAGTCTGTCTCCTCAGTCATGTGCCTCTCAAGTAAGAGAAGAAACGCAAATACGACAGAGTCATCAAAAAAAATTAGACTGGTAATGCAAAAATTTTAAAAGGTTGCTTTTGCCTAATATAATAATAACAAGATATTCAACATAGATTAAAATTGGGCACTTTTTTTGGTATTCACTAGAAAGGTATGAATCACCAAGATTCATACTTTTGGGATCCTTATGGATGTAATTGATAAGCTCTATGCAAAATCCACTTAAATTTAGCATTCATTAAAGTCCACGTCATATAAAATATCGTAGATTAGGTCAGATCTTCAGTTCATTGCCGTTTCAATAGGAAGCACTGTTATTTGTGCTTTGAAAATCACCTAAAAGATGGCTTTTCTGAGGTGGGAGTTTGAAAGTCAATATTGTCAGCATGAAAATAAAAAAAAAAAAAGGAAGCTAACATATCAAGTATCTGGCTCCTTCTTCTCTTATTTATTCAAACCAAAGGTTTTGCCACACATAGAGCGCAGAGGTAATGACTGTGCATCTGTTGCCGTAATACAGTGAACTGGGAAGAACTAACTCTGTGCAATTCAATAAAGTATATTTAGCATATTTTCATTGCACCAAATATCAGCTGATCCACCTCTTATTAGTATAAATGGCATAGATTAGTGTCAGGCATTTTCAACAGTGAAGAAATTACAGGAGTCTGCAAGGCTCATTAGGTTCCGGCTGCATGTTAACGAGGGGCCAGGCCTTATTAATAAGAAGAGGAAAAGATAAAACTAAGCTGTGAGGAAAAAAGGGAACAAAACACTCCTTTAGAAATTCTCTGACATTTAGAAGTGAGAAGACTGCACCAGGAGGTTCTTTTCTTAGCTCATCTCCTAGGACTTCGTGAAGATATGCTTTTCTATATTCTTATTATTTTTTGCAACATTAAAAAAATTATTTTGTTTCAGTTCATGACAATTACATACAGAAACCATGCTTTTTAAATGGGTAATATGGTTGCCAACTTTTGCTTTTGAATAGCTGATCTGAAGGAGAGTCTAGATTTTGTATTTACATCTTCTTTTCTCTCACCTCAATCAATTAAGGAAGGTGGTGAGACCTGCCTGCTTCAGCCTAGAGAAATAATAAGATTTGTGTCTTGTCCCTGCTTCCATACCTCTCTGTGCTGGATAATCCAGGTGGCAATATTCCCAAAGCAATCCGTCCTTGGGAAGACAGGTCAAGAAGAGACTTTCTATAGTGTTATGCTCAAATGAGGCCAATGAGGACTTTCTCTGTTAACCCAAAGGTCAGTGTGATGAATTCTGATTGAAAAACAAATCAACCAACAAACTCTGTTTTTAGCATTTTGCTTAAATGCTGAGAAATTAATCAATAAGGCCTTACACCAGAGTACAGGGGAAAAGTAAGAGCTACACAGGGCACAGTATAAACAAAGGTCCTGGCTAGAAGCTACATTGATTTGGACCCATGTCAGAAGGCAAAGAACTGAAAGCAAAGGAAAACTCTCCAGGTTCAGTACATGCTATGAAGTGCTTTTGAAAAAAAAAGGAAAAAGAAAAATCAGGAATTCATCCAAAATTCTTTAAAAATTTTGCATATGGGTGTCTGTGCAGACGTATGTGTGTGTGTGCATATGTACACACACAATGGAGCAATTTTATTGCAAAACTCTTATATTTTATTTTATTATATTTTATATTGAGACAGAGTCTTGCTGTGTTGCCCATCCTGGAGTGCAGTGGTGCAGTCTTGCTCACTGCAACCTCCACCTCCTGGATTCAAGCGATTCTCCCACCTCAGCCTCCTGAGTAGCTGGGATTAGAGGCATGCACGACCATGCCTGGCTAATTTTTGTATTTTTAGTAGAGACGGGGTTTCACCATGTTGGCCAGGCTGGTCTCGAACTCCTGACCTCAAGTGATCCACCTGCCTCGGCCTCCCAAAGTGCGGGGATTACAGGCCTGAGCCACCATGCCTGGCCTGCAAAGCTTTTAAAAGCAACAACAGAATGTGCGTGTAAATGGTTGGTTTTTAATGCAAAAATTACAACTGCTCAGATTTTGCACTTCTACAGAATTTCTCAGCCAAGAATATTTCAATGTTTCTGTTAGGCTATGTTGTTAGAAAATGATAAGTTTTCCATTAAAAGAAAGATAAATATGCTAAAGTAATAGTCTATTGTTGAACAGTCAACAGTAATTAATTTAGAGTTTCAGGTTGTTTTGAGTCATCCTCTATTATGTTTATATTATAATCCCCAAAGCTTAGAAATTGCATTTCCTTTATACCCATTCTGATTCACCTATTGATTTCTCCCACTGTGTTTAAAATGAAAATGAAATGAACTTGACTCTGGAGATTTGTTTTGAACCAGCATTATCACCAGCATCCTTACGGTTCCCAAACATGGCCTTTTTTGGCAGATGACAATTGCAAGGTGAGGTGAGATGTCCAGTTTTCAGCATCAAACCCATTTAGTGATTACACCATGTCTGTGTGCCGAATGCCAACAGGGAGATGCTTGAATTCTGGGTCATAGTGTGAGGGGTATTTAGGGCTCTCTCAATACTGCTTTGTCTCAAACTATTTGGATGATTGAGTCAATGGTGGTTGTTATTTTAATCCGCATTGAAAATAATAAAGCTTTCTTGCCTTTCTCCACCTCACCTAGCCTGTCTTCACACAGCAACAGTTGGTTGCAAATTATTGCAGGCATACGATAATATGTATAGAAATGTTTTCTCTTGTAAAATATTGTGTATATACACACTTATGCCCACACAAATTTGAATATTTGCTTATATAAGCATTGTGGTTTTTAGGCATCGGATAAGGCATTTTCCAAGATAGCTAAATCAAATTTCTGGGAGGATAATTTTTAAAATAAGATGTATCTATTTTAACCATATCAGTTTCATCAAATCAACTTCTGTGAAATAATGCCACAAAAGTCTCTCACAGAGTCAGTGTGAAGAAAGCAATTGTTTCTTTTTTCTTTTTAATCTTTAATATGGAGACATAGAAATATTTTCTGGCCATCATCTTTCAAAGCAGCTCTTCCCAGTGGAATTGGAATCTGGTTCATGGAAACTTTGCAAAGCTCAAACCTCCAAAATCCCCATCGTGAAAGATCGTGTGTATTACTTGATTTTCTAAAGTGACAAGACGTACATTAAAAAATATTTCTCTTATTGTTACATTTCAGGCACGTTTACTGTTAGCTGCTTGGCTTCATTATGTATCATAGTCTGAATCTACAAATCAAGTATAATTAGACTTAGCGAACTGATTGGATTTCTAATTAAGCTACATTGGAAACAATGCACAATCAGTAAATATTCTGACTAGGTACATTTTAAAGAGCAACTCTTGGGCTTTTTGCTGATGACTAGACACCAGTGTCATTAAATTTGTTGGTGGCAAGCAAATTTTAAAGCTAAAATAGAGGCAATTAGTAAAGATCTTGAAATATTTAATCACGTTTGTCCAATTAGTGTGCAATTAGGCAGTGGTGTGGCGTGGGACAGGCATTCTGCTTCACTGCTTGGTGCAGAAGGATCCCTTTGAAATTTTGCTGTTTAGTTTATTGATATATAAAAAGGAAGTTATGGTTGTAATTTCCAATTTAAAAAAAATACTGTGCAGATGGTCTGACTATATATTTAACAATGTTAAACAAATCCAAACAAGGGAAGCATGTTACCTGAAATTACACAGCTGTGATCTGTGAATAAGCTCTGGATCATGGTAGATTACAGCTGTGCTTATCTCGATCATTGAAACCGCCAGGCATTTTATACTGGAGGAATCGGGAACCTGATAAGCTTGCCCAACAGGTCTTAAAATGATTGGCAGCTCCTTACTTGTCCAAGTGTGTGCTTCCTGGTGGCTAGCTTGGCTCCTCTGAGTTCCAGGGGTTTTAATTTTATGCAGAGGGAGACATGGGAAGAGATCTTGTAAAAAGTTGATTTGGGGAGATGGATAAACTGAACAGCCTTGGTACCTGATGTTGTCATTGCAAACCGACTGCTCATATCTGCTGAGTTACAGCCTTGAGATGTGACTGTGTGAGGGGGAGGTTTGGCATGCCCAGTGCAAAAAGGAGGAAGAATGTCTCTTATTTTTAACACTTAGATGGTTTTGCCCAGCTGCAGAAGAGTTCCACTCTCTTTACTTATGCTGGAATGCAAAGAGTACTTTCCTGAAATTCTTTTTTAGATGATCTCTGGAAAGGCAATACCATTTCCATTTTAAAAAGATAGGGCTTGCAGGGTGACGGGGATCTCAGGCAGTGGTCAGACCCAGGGTCGAATGACATCAAAGGTGCCTGGGAAAGGGTCACTCCCGGAGTGACTGGATGAGGCAGTGAGATGATGATGAGAGAATTTTAGGGAAATGAACCAGGGAGAACCTGACAGGGAACCAGGTGCGTACCCAGGTAATCTGTGAGAGAAATACTTCCATACTCTTCTGGGATATTGACTTCATGCTCAGCCAGACTGAACCATCTCAATATCATTTGAAGTGGAACAGAAACAATGTCCCTAAGTACACTTGATTTTCTAGACCCTGGTAACCTAATAGGTTGATGTGTATTGCATCTCAGGAGTCCACGGAAGGATTTCTGGACAGAGACCCAGTTCTCCTAGGCATACTGGCATTACACATTACCAGGTGTAAGTGCATTTGGTTTGGAAAAGTTTTGGAAACTGGGTGAGAGGAAATTCCCTGGGTATCTACAGATGTAGAAGCAAAGGAAAAGTGAAATGTAAAATGTCCTTGAAAAAATGACAGGTGAATTAATGTGGAGGTTGGGGGAAAAGGTATAAAATAATACAAGGCCTTAAAATAGATTTACTGGGGATTTAGGGAAGCTTTATCATACTTATTTTCCTATCTCCTGTCTCTCCCCAGTTTTGAAGGTTTTTTTGTTCTGCCTCTCTAGAAGCAGCTTACTATCACCATTAAGTCAAAACCAGATATTTTCAGGCCTTTGAGTAAAATTGAATTCCCTTTTGAGATCAGATTAAATTCTATATTTAGAATGTTCACAAATTTACAATTCTAAATATAGCAAATGCTAGGTTTAAAAACTTAGAATGTTAGTAAATTAGCTGTGGATTATACCTCTTCCTAGTTGTTGCTGAGGCAGGTATAAGATTCTAAACTGAAGCTGTCTGCTGCTGGCGATGGTCTCAGTGGAGTTTTGTGGGATTCTAGCCAACAATGCCCTCTGCCATCTAAACTGTTGGGAGAGGAGATTCTGTTGATTGCTTCTAACATGTGGCAGAATGCATACTTAGAGGAGTTCAATAGCCAAAAATAATTTTTGTGTTTGGCATAAACATTCTTCGTCTTGTGGTCTTTCCATGGTGTTCCTCATGCCCTCTTCGCAGGGTCTCCATGTCTGTGTGCCTTTTCCAGGCTCCCCTCCCACAACCTGCTCTCTGGAAACCTTCTGGATAGGATTGGCCAAGATTAGCAAGTAAAAATACAGGCTACCTAGATAGCCCAATGTTGAAGTTTCAGGTTGTTCATTAAGGTACTTGTTCTCAATCTTGGCTGCATATTAGAACCCCTTGGGGAGCTTTGAAACTATCAATGGCCAGGCCAAAACCCAGACTAATTAAGTCAAAATCTCCAGGGATGAGACCCAGGCGTGTGTATTGTTTAAAACTCCCTGGTGATTCCAATGTGCAGCCAAGTTTATAAACCACTGAACTAAGGAAGAGTTCTCAACAACGGTACACATTAGAACCACTTAGGGAATTAAAACACATACTCATGTCTGGACCCCAATTCCAGACATTCTGACTTCATTAATCCCAGTGAGTGACTGGCATCCATAATTTTTAAACCTCCCCATGTGATAGGAAACCATTTAGTTAGGAGATAGGCAGAAGGGTCTTTTGAAAATCAATGAGTCATCCCAGCACTTTATAAATTTGCACCAGGGTCCCCATCTGCCCACACATAAAGCTATCTGTGATGCCTGCTTACTGTAAGAAAAGATTCCATCTTCCCCTAAGGGATCACATGTATCTGCTTCCCAGTGAAAATCAGGGTCTTCTATTTCAGGGGCACTTAGGATGCCCATGACAGTTGCCTCAAAAAAAAAAAAAACAAAAAAAAAAACAACAGTCAGATGTGACTGTGCAGAATTGAAGGCAATCTTTTTAAGGAATAAAATAAACTGTACCCTGCTGGGCCATATGGGTAGATCAGGGAGTTGCCATGGAATAAATGATTATCAGGAGATCCTGAAGACTGAAGGGAGAAATTAGGTCAGACATGAAAAAATGATCAAGGGGAAAAGAATTTCACAAAAAGATAGAGTGGGATGAATATGAAAATATTAAGAAGGATCGAGTGAATCCTAAATTAAGCTTATTTTGGTTGAAGACTATGTTTTGGCCATAAACCAAAGCAAACCCTAAGAATTTGAGGTGTTTGGGTGACAGGCAGCAACAGGAAGGCCCTCGTAACTCTGACAGAAGTTGGCCAAACATCATACTCCAAATGCTGTTGAGTAAACTGACATGAGACAGTTGATAGACATCAGCTCCGTATCGTTTGTGACCCAGCATGCCCTGACAGTAACACGTGTTTGTCCATCTGTCATAGACTCTGTGGTTTAGAAAATGGGAGTCCCTTCAAGGCACTTGATGTGACAAGAGAGTCACAGCAAAAAACAATTTTGGCTGAGGTCAGATGCTGGGGAGGACATAGAACAGGTACCAGAGCCCTATAGAAAGAAAAGCTGAGCAGATTCAGAGCTAGACAGAGGTCAGGGACTGATTGAGAGTAGGAGATGCCAAGTCCCAATGTGTGTGTGTGTCTGGGTGCCTATGCGTGTGTGTGCCCATGGGTGCCTGTGTATGTGTGGGCGTGTATGTTGAGGATAGTTCTCAAAGAGGGTTAGCAGGAGTCTAGGAGCTGGTAAAACTTGGAAAACATACACTGAAAAACTTGGAAACATACACTGAAAATCAGGGGAAATTGCAGGCAGTTTTCTGCCTCCTTCCAGGCCCCTGTGGGCCTGCCCCAAGAACGTGGCCCTGCCGCCTGAAGGACAGACTTGGGTCTGAGGTGCACCTGGCCCCATTGTGGCATGTGCCTAGACAGAGTGTCTCTGGGCAGAACCTGCCTTGCCCAGAGTTACTGATGGAGGAGCAGTCCCAGGCCCCTCTTTTTTATCCTGTGACCCCACACTGTCCGTCTCACAGCTGATGGGGATAGAAGTGGGTACCCTACAGAAGGGCAGAAAACCCTCAGGCTGAACAGCACCTATAACCCTGTTCAGAAAAAGACTAGCTGGGCCAATCAGATTTTCTCTTGGAAATATGAACAAAAGCATCCTAAGACATATATTCAGATGATGGGAAGGGGGCTGCTTAGGGCAGAGTTGGGGCAGGAGGCCTTGGTGGGCTGTATGTAGGGGGATTAGAAACTTTGATGAAGCAAAGACAGCCAATAAGAGAAAGAGGAGAACACAAGAGATATGCTGATAAATGAGGAGGTGTGGAAAGAAAGAAATAATGCCACCTTTGAGAAAACTAGCTGATCCCTAGAGCTGCCAGACTCCTAAAGCGCATTGCAGTTCGTGGGTCAACTCCAGTCTGTGAGGGGATCACTTCCTTTCTGGAAGAGAGATGCTTAACGTAGCTCTGTGGTTTGGTCAGCAGGTTTCCTTAGTGTGATCTCCCCATGAGACTGAACAGGGTACCCGCAGGACCACGGTTTTCGCTGGTGTAAACTTTTCGGTGGGGAGATATTTGTTATCTCAGACTGAGTCTCTCATTCAGCCATGGCAGTTATCTGCCAATCTGCCCAGCTGGTGCAGGACTCGGCTACTTCAATAAGAAAAAGGAGAGAAGACAGTTTTCTCCTTCGTCCTTCCCCACTCCTGCCCCCCTCCTCCTGGCACCACTGCCACCACTCCTCCTCCCTATATTGTACAAAACCATGTGGATTTGCTGAACAGGTCTGCAAAATTAATTATACTGTGAGTGCTTGGTAACCAATGAATTGTAAATTGTACATTATTAAAACAGCATCAGAGCTCTGACTGATCTATTATTCTTTGGGGAATAAACGAAGATAAGAGCTTTATGCATTTTAGAGGTCTTTCTCGCCACCGTACAGCAGGCATGGAGAGGAAATATGGAGTAGTTATTTTGTTTTGTTTTTCTGCAAGTTGGATTAAATAGAAGGAGTGTCATTTTTTTCTGTTATTAAATTGTTATTTGTGCTCTCACATGTCGGTTTGCAGCATCTAATAGTGTAGTGGTCACTCAATAAATGCTATTCTGTAGTGATTGTGATAATATGTATCCATATATGCTCATCCACAAACGCAGCACCATGTCAACCTAATGTGAACAGGAGATATATGATATGACATGGCATCGTAATAAAAGAAATTGTGTTGATGTAGTGCTTCTCTGCAAAACCTCAGGAAGAATTCAGAGTAAACAGTAGGAAACATAAAGAACATCAGCTGAGTGTGCACCAGGGGCCTTGTGGCTTCAATTGAAAAGGAAGAATCTGGAAGAAATGGCTTTTCTTGTCTCTTCCTTCTAGACACAACAAGATTACTCCTGGGAGTTGCTTATGAACCTCTCTTTTTACTGAACTATCTCCTCCGTGCAGAATTTCTCAGCACCTTTCTACCTGCCATGATGATTCCTTCCAGGCGCATCACACGGTTCTCCATGGAAACTTTCACTTTCTATGATTGACCAAGCCTGTCGTCCCTGGGACTGTAACTGCCAGTCAGCCACGCAGCATTGCCCCAACAAGCAGGCGTTCTAGCTAAGAGAACCGAAACAGGTACCAGGCAAACCACATGCCATCCCATCCCCAAAATAAATAAACAGTGAAAAACCCACCATTGCAGTTGGAAATCGGATGCCTCAGGACTGAGCTATTCCTCAATGCTGTGCAGGACCAGCTACATAATCTGAGGCTTATGCAAAACGAAAAGGCAGGCCCCTCGTTAAATAAAATTAGTAAGAATTTCAAGACAGTGATAGCAGAACATTAAACTAAGTGTGGGCCCTTCAATGCTCAGGGCATTGTTCAATTGCACAGGTTGTCACCCAGGAAGCTGGCCATTGTGTACAGAGGGACATTTGCCCACTGGTTTGGGAAGGCGTCTGTATTTTTTTGGTGCATTTTAATCTTCTAGTGGCCTGATTGGACCATCCGACAATTTCAGCATTTGTTTTGCTGGGAGAAGGACAGTGCCATTCATTTTTTTTCCCCTATTTGGAGCTGCAGTGAGATCACTCCTCCCTCTCGATGACCAGGTAATGGCCATTTGCAATATGAGACTACTATGGCAAAGAGACAGGTCAAAGGGGAATGATGTTTTATGATCAAGCTGAAAAATCTATAGGGAGTCGGGGGAGCTCAAAGATGCCTGTGAGAGACAGATAGACAAAGAGATTGCCATAGAAAAATAGAAATCAACTTTCTGATAAGACATTCTTAGACTCAGTCATACTGAGAGGTGACAGCGTGCTGGCAGTCCTCACAGCCCTCGCTCGCTCTCGGGACCTTCTCTGCCTGGGCTCCCACTTTGGCAGCACTTGAGGAGCCCTTAAGCCCACCGCTGCACTGTGGGAGCCCCTTTCTGGGCTGGTCAAGGCCGGAGCCGGCTCCCTCAGCTGGCAAGGAGGTGTGGAGAGAGAGGCGCGAGCGGGAACCAGGGCTGCGCGCGGGGCTTGCAGGCCAGCTGGAGTTCCGCGTGGGCGTGGGCTTGGCGGCCCCGCACTCGGAGCAACCGGCCGGCCCTGCCGGCCCCGGGCAATGAGGGGCTTAGCACCCGGGCCAGCGGCTGAGGAGGGTGTACTGGGTCCCCCAGCAGTGCCAGCCCACCGGTGCTGCGCTCGACTTCTCGCCGGGTCTTAGCTGCCTTCCCGCGGGGCAGGGCTCGGGACCTGCAGCCCGCCATGCCTGAGCCTCCCACCCGCTCCGTGGGCTCCTGTGCGGCCCGAGCCTTCCCGATGAGCGCCGCCCCCTGCTGCACGGCACCCAGTCCCATCCACCACCCAAGGGCTGAGGAGTGCCGGCGTGAGAGTGGCAGGTAGCTCCGCCTGCAGCCCCGGTGCGGGATCCACTGGGTGAAGCCAGCTGGGCTCCTGAGTCTGGTGGGGACGTGGAGAACCTTTACCTCTAGCTCAGGGATCGTAAATACAACAATCAGCACTCTGTGTCTAGCTCAAGGTTTGTAAACACACCAATCAGCACCCTGTGTCTAGCTCAGGGTTTGTGAATGCACCAATCCACACTCTGTATCTACTCTGTACTACTCTGGTGGGGCCTTGGAGAACCTTTATGTCTAGCTCAGGGATTGTAAATACACCAATCGGCACTCTGTATCTAGCTCAAGGTTTGTAAACACACCAATCAGCACCCTGTGTCTAGCTCAGGGTTTGTGAATGCACCAATCCACACTCTGCATCTACTCTGTACTACTCTGGTGGGGCCTTGGAGAACCTTTGTGTGGACACTGTATCTAGCTAATCTGGTGGGGACGTGGAGAACCTTTGTGTCTAGCTCAGGGATTGTACACTCACCAGTCAGCGCCCTCAAAACATACCACTCGGCTCTACCAGTAAGCAAGATGTGGGTGGGGCCAGATAAGAGAATAAAAGCAGGCTGCGCGAGTCAGCAGTGGAAACCCTCTGGGGTCCTCTTCCACGCTGTGTAAACTTTGTTCTTTTGCTCTTTGCAATAAATCTTGCTACTGCTCACTCTTCGGGTCCACACTGCTTTTATGAGCTATAACACTCACCGTGAAGGTCTGCAGCTTCACTCCTGAAGCCAGCGAGACCACAAGGCTACTGGGAGGAACCAACAACTCCAGATGCGCCGCCTTAAGAGCTGTAACACCGCGAAGGTCTGCAGCTTCACTCCTGAGCCAACGAGACCACGAACCCACCAAAAGGAAGAAACTGAACACATCCGAATATCAGAAGGAACGAACTCCAGACGCGCCACTTTAACAGCTGTAACACCGTGAGGGTCCGCGGCTTCATTCTTTAAGTCAGTGAGACCAAGAACCCACCAATTCCAGACACAATATTATGATTTTTCTCAGCACTATATTGTTGCTATCTTCTTGTCCTCCAAAAAACCCCGCATGATTTTGAGGAAAAGTTGGCAATAGTTTCTTTCTTTTTATTTTTAGGGGTCATGTTCACCTGTTCTTTCTCGTGTTTGGTAGGCACTAGGAAATAGGAGCGTTGATTATCCAGGGACGTCAGGGTAGCACAGGGAGACGTTATGAGGGAGGGGTTGAGGGAGGGGCCATGGTACCAATGGTTACTGGAGAATGCTCCCATTGCAGCAGAGCAGTTGTTGGGGAGGTCTGCACAAAACCTGGGTTAATGAGCCGTGCCTAGCCCAGCAGGTTTAACTTCCTAGAAGGGCTGCCTATGTCCCTGTGACCTGTCACTGCTGTGAGAACCTCAACCTCTACTGTCTGGGAAGGATGGCTATCTTCAGCTGGACAGGCTTGCAAATCGTATTCTGGCATACTTCTTCATTTCAGTATCTTTATCAACAGAACTACATGCAGACACTTTAGGGGAATTAATAGATCAGCCCAGAGGGGGCAGGCGGATAAGAAATGAAATTACAATAGCGAAGTTATGGAAACAACCTAAGCATCTGTCAATGGATGAATAGGTAAAGAAAATGTAGTGTATATATACATACTGGAATATTATTCGACCTTAAAAAAGAAGGAAATCCTCCTATTTGTGACAACATGGATGAACCTGGAGGATGTTAAGTGAAATAAACCAGAAACAGAAAACTGTATAACCTCACTTATATATGGAATGTAAAAAGGTAAAACTCATCAAAGCAGGTTTAGAAGGGTAGTTATGGGGAGAGGCTGGGGGAGTAAGGAGATGTTGGTCAACGGGTACAAATTTTCAGTTACGCAAGATGAATAAGTTCTGGAAATCCAGTGTACAACATGGTGGCAATAGTTAATGATATTGTGCAGTATACTTGAAATTTGATAAGAGGGTAGAGCGTTTAAGTGTTGTCAGCACACACATACACACACAAATGGTAATGATATCAGGTGTTGGATAAGTTAATTAGCTTGATTGCGATGATCATTTTACAATGTATACATATGTGAAAACATCAAGTTGTATACCTTAAATATATGGAATTTTTATTTGTCAATTATACCTCAATAAGCTGGGAAAAAAGAAAAGAACAAGTAATAGCATGCTTTATACTTCTTTTGCTGCTTCATAAAATTGGTTTTGCTTTTGCTTTGGAAGAACACCAGCAGAGAAAGTAGCACTCAAAAGGGGAGTTAAAGTGCTGTTCCAGTAGGCTCTGGATTAGCCAGAAGGTTGAAGCAGCCCCTAGACAGGGAAAAGAGGCTGTCTTCAGGCAATAGGCCCTATTTAGGAGTGCAGTGTGCCCTAAAATTCAAAAGAGGGCAGCAGATAACTTGCACTGCCTGTAGGACCAGGAAAGCGTGTAACTTGAGGAATGTCAGCAGGAAAATTTACTGGTTTTTCAAAACTCACGTCATGCAAGGGTTAGGTGAACCAGAAATTGTGTTTCATAAATTGTGTGTTTAAGTGTAAAAGCAAATATTTGATGAATGGGATCTAAGGAGCTTTGGTGATGTGGAGGGGCAAGTGCAGGCAGATTGTCCACCATGGCAGCCTCGTGCTCTGTTATTTAGTGATATAAAACCTTGCGGTGGCAAGGTCAGCAAAGTTAAGGCCAGAGTGCATGAGAAATAGCTGTGGAGTGTGAGGTGAAGAGGCTGCGTGTGTGCTTGTACAGTCTCCTCGTTGCTTTCACCGAGTCTCTCCAATGAGCGCGACCCTCCTCACAAAGTGTGCACAGTGCTTCTCTCCTGGGTAAATTTACAGGATGTGGGAGACAGTGAGTCTCTCTGAGATTTTCCAGCACTTCCAGAAGAAAGAAAGTTTGTGTTAGGAAGGACAGGCCCCAGCTCCCTGGGACTTCAGGGAGGCTGGGGGGAGCTGCAGTGGAGAAGAGGAGGAGGTTGCTGAAGGAGAAGCAGCCTGAAGTTCTCAGGTTGAAAATACAAACCTTAGCCCCATCCTGCGGAATTTTGGGATTTCATTCCTAGGATCACCCTATAGACCTCTTTATGATTCAGTTTCCTGGAAAAGATGATATTATGGTATGGATCCTAAACACAGTTTCACAAGGAAGTTCTGTGTCTTTTGGCAGGGGAAGAATAGTGAACAAAGTGCAATCTTACTTTTAAAATAAATCTTGAAATGATATTGCAAGCCTTATGAGATCTCTGATAATCTTTTTTTATTTGACCTGGTTTTAAGTAATTCTTTTTATTCTTGATGTTTTTCTTAAAAGCATTTTAGAATCATTCAACCTTCTAAGAAAGCATCAAACCATATAAGCAATCTAATCTAAAAAATGATACCTCTAAAAGTTGAAACTTTTGTTTATTTTGACTACTTTTTGATTACTGGAAAGAATAAAAAAATTTTACTCTATCAACATTGGATTATATAAACTGTAAAGAGCTTCTACTAAGACGTGTGAAAATGCACATTTTCTTTTTTTATATAACTTCAAAATTAACAGATACTATACTGTTTAGATACATACCTGATGCTAGATAAAGAGTTCCTGAGAAACATGCCCTAAACTTTTGGACTGATTTAATATGAAACAATTACTACAGAGCTGAGTTAATCAGCCCCTTTATAGATTTTGGCGAAGATGATTCTCTTCATATGTATAATAATGAAAACCAAACTTGGCAAAAGCTCACAGGTCTACAGTGACTGTGTATTTCTTTGCATTCTCTAGAATATTGAGGGAGGAGATTATTTTTTACTGGTGTTTTACTCTCAGGAAATTAGAATTGCAAGTTGATAAACAAGTTGATAGGGTCTTTAGGGCCTGTGTGATCAATCAGGACTTCTGGGGTTCCTGTAGGTATCCTTGAAGTCTGCTTGTGGGTTGTATAGTCCAGAGTGATCATGAGATCTTTCACCTCAGAATGACTGTAGATGAAAAGATACATTTCTTTTGCCAGAGCAGTTCTCTCTAGAGTTTCAAAAACAATAATTTTGTTCTCTCAGGAACATAGCCCTCTCAGGAATAACTCCAGTCGGTCCTCAAATTACAAATACAGAAAGAATGGCTGTGTTTACAGAATTTTTATAAGAGAAAAATGATCTGTAAAAAAAAAGAAATATATGCATCAGAACAAATAGGAATTTTTAAAAGAAACAACTCCTAAGATAAATACTGAAAAAAAGAAATGCTCTGATAATATAAATGATTCTACTATGTACTGAACTCAATAAAGTCTCCTTGACTGTGAGTTGGAAGCCCTGAAATTTTGCTGGCAGCTCTGCCCCTAAGTTAGGTCATCTTATGAAGGACACATTTTATTTTATTTTTATTTTTTTGTAGAGACAGTGTCTTGTTCCATCACCCAGGCTGGAGTGCAGTGGCGCGATCATGGCTCACTGCAGCCTTGAGCTCCTGGGCTCAAGTGATCCTCCCACCTTAGCTTTTTGAGTAGCTGAAACTATAGACGCATGCCACCATGCCCGGTTATTTTTTTAAATTTTCTTTATAGAGACAAGGTTGTGCTATGTTGTTCAGGACAGTCTGGAACTCTTGGGCTCACATGCTCCTCCCACCTAGGCCTCTCAGAGTGCTGGGATTATAGGAGTGAGCCACCATGCCCAGCCTCAAAAGGCATATTTTAAAGCGTCACAGCCTCAGTTTCATTTTCGGTAAAATGAGGGAATTGGATTTTATTTCAAAATTCTATTATTTTCTGATTCATTGAATTATTGCAAAGAACATAATGAACTCCCAAATACTGGTGTCTCCATCCTGTTGAATTAATCTCAGCTTTAGTTTATAGGGAAGCATAGCCACTAGAAATTATGTTAAACATAAATTATAAAAGGTACATTTTTCTAAGTCATGAAGAAATACATAAATTTTATGTTGTTTTCAACCTTAGTCTGTCTCTTAAATACCACATGGCATACTGTGTACCACTCTGTTATTATGTCTTTCGTTTTCAGAATTGTTTTCTACCAGGAGACTATTATTAGGGTAGCCCGATGACTTGGCCCTGAATATGGGAGTTCATGTGTAGAGTTCCTCCCTCTGTCCCATCCTCAGCATTTATGTCAGTCCTACAGCACTTAGTTAACTATCAGAAAATGGATCAAAAAGCAAACAAGTATCCCATCTGACCGTGTTAACAGCAAAATCAACAGATATAAGGCCCCCTTTTAATTTCCTGGAGGCCGTCACCTCGTTTCTTCTGCTGTTTCACTACTGCAGTCCTTTCTTGTTCCTCAGACTCTCGTCCTTCCTCAAATCCTTCTCCTTCCATCAACATTTATGTCATTTATGTCTTCGGTGCGCACAGAACTTCAGGTTTATTCTGAAGAGAAATAAATGAAACAGAAAATAGCTTCTGCACTGGGAAGGCTTAAAAATCTCTTCTCCCTGAAATGTTTGTGCATTTTTGAAATCTTTGTCCTCCATATGGAGTGAACACACACACACCCTGCTCCTCTATTCTTCTTAACCCTGTTTTCATACTGGAAGAGGGCAGGCACATGCTAATCATTCCTGTCCCTATTCAGCAAGCATGCGACTTGCTGAAAACCTACCTCCTTGAAGCAGCAGGATGAATACAGATAGAAATGATTAGAGGGGAGGAACTTACAAATACTGAATAGCTCATGTGCCTGACACTGTGTTAGGGGAGACTCTCAGGGCTGAGTAGTACTGTGTCATCATTATAAGAGAAAGTTTTAGAACGGCTCAGAGAGGTTAAGTAACTTGCCTGAGGCCACACAGTAAGTGTTAGAGCTCAGAATCTAATTCTGCAAACTTTCTGATTTTTCCTTTATAAAAGATCTTATTCAATTTTGGAAGAATTGAAGTTATTCTTCATTGTTTTTTAATTCATGAAAATTGTATACAATTCTATGAAGAAGGAATCTAATATATGAAATTAAGGTATTATTATATTACAGCATATCCCAATTTTACATGGATTTAGTATTTTTGTGTTAGATAGCCATGTATTAGGATAGTTCTAAGGCAAATGCAGCAGTTGAGATAAGACCATTTAGCCTCTTTTTCTACATCATGTTGTAGGCAATCCCTTAGGATGATATACTACACTAGGGGAAATGAAATTTTTTTTTCTAAATTTGTTTTTCCAGAAGAATCTCTTTACCATTAAAGCAATGCTGCTCATGGCTACCTATATAGGCCTACTAGCTTCTCCAAACATCACATAGAGGTAAAGAGAGAAGGTAATGATTTGGAAGGACATATAAGAGGGTGAAAAAAATTCTTTCTTTTAGGTTTTTGCTTAGAAAACAATGATTGCGTGTGAGAACAAAGTGGGTTATTATAAATGTTTTGACACATAGCTAGATTGGAATGAAGATCAAGGGTATGAAGGACTCAACATCTTGACCCTAGACCTGTCCCAGGATCCCACTCCAAGGTCTCATGTATGCAGCAGCTCCCTCTTGGGCATCTCCTGTTACCAACTTCCTCTTCCCATGAGCTGTTATTGCCACTTCTGTTGATATTATATTAACCTTTTCTCTTTACTCGATAAGAGCTCCTGGAAAATTAGAAATTGGTGTCGAAGAGTAGGAGAAACACACCGTGTGTGGCATAACAATAATAGCTTACACCTACATACCATTTTGGAGCTTACAATACTGTTTCTCAATGGTTCCTGGGAGACTTGCCTCATTCACCAGGTGAAAGCTCAAATGCAGACTTCTGTGTCATACCCCACACCTGATGAATCAGAATCTCAGTGGTGGGGGGTACCTGGATTAGTGGAATTCAGAAAGTCATCTCTTCAGATTTTTTTTTTTTTTTTGAGATGGAGTTTCGCTCTTGTTGCCCAGGCTGGAGTGCAGTGGCGTGATCTTGGCTCACCGCAACCTCTGCCTCCCGGGTTCAAGCAATTCTCCTGCCTCAGCCTCCTGAGTAGCTGGGATTACAGTCATGCGCCACCACGCCCGGCTAATTTTGTATTTTTAGTAGAGATGGGGTTTCTCCATGTTGGTCAGGCTGGTCTCAAACTCCCGACCTCAGGTGATCCACCCACCTCGGCCCCCCAAAGTGCTGGAATTACAGGTATGAACCACCGCACCTGGCCCAGATGATTTTTATATATACCAAAATTATAACCATTGTCTTGTAAATATTTTCATGTATGTTACTTTCTTTTTCTCTTTTAAGAACCACCTGAGCTAGGTTAGAATTATTATATACTCATTTTACCTATGAGAAAATTGGAATCTGGAAAAGTGACTTGCCTGAGGGGACACAGCTAACGAGGTGCAGGCCTCTGACTAGAACCCAAGTCTTTTGGCTTGGCCGGACAGTCTCTGCCCTTTCCCCACTCTACACTGTTCCCATAGACTGAAGGGTAGGTCTGTGCACACACGTGGATATAATTGTGGAGGACAACACAGGTTGAAATTCTTTCGTAGAATGTGCTTTTGATGTTGTATTATATCTAAAGATTCATCACCAAATCCAAGATCGCATCGATTTTTCTGCCGTGTTTTCTTCTAGAATTTTCAGTTTTGCACTTTATGTTTAAAATGTAATGGTCTATGATCCATTTTGAGATAACTTTTGTAAGAGGTTTAAGGTCTGTGCCTAAGTTAATTGTGGACGTCCAATTTTTCCAGCATCATTTGTTGAAAAGACCATCCTTTCTCCATTGAATTGCCTTTGCTCATTTGTCCAAGAGCTTTGCAATTCTTGATCCTTGTAATTAAAGTACTTTATCTCTGCTCTCTGTTTTAAAAGGCAGCCAGATCAGTCCAGCATTTAATAATTATTTGCTTAAGATTTGAACCCCACTTCTTAGGAAAGAACATGAGGCAAGTTGTAGATTAGGATAGGGAACAAGATAAACCACTGAAGAGTAAACTAAAATAGAATCCATCCACACTGAACTTTGTGGCCTTGGCTTAGAGATGGGGAAACTAGGTTCTAGATCTGACTCTTATCACTTCACCTTTTCAGCTTCTGTCTCCTTCCCTGAAAAATGAGAGGAATGTTGTTAGACATATTCCATGTTTCTTTCTTTTTTTCTTTTTTTTTTTTTCTTTTGAGATGGAGTCTTGCTCTGTCACCCAGGCTGGAGTGGAGTGGTGCAATCTCAGCTCACTGCAACCTCCACTTCCTGGGTTCAAGCAATTCTCCTGGCTCAGCCTCCCTAGGAGCTAGGATTACAGGTGCCCACCACCAAGCCCGGCTAATTTTTGTATGTTTAGTAGAGACGGTGTTTCGCCATATTGGCCAGGCTGTTCTCGAACTCCTGACCTCAAGTGATCTACCTGCCTCGGCCTCCCAAGTGCTGGGATTATAGGCATGAGCCACCACCGTGCCCGGCCTCCAGGTTTCTAATTATATGATTCCACTCTAGGGCCTCAGATCATGGTAGGGGTAATGAAAACTTCTATCTGTGAAAGGCTTTCCCATTCAGGCAGCAAGCTTGCCCTTTCAAGACTGACTCATGAGGATTCATTGCATGAATTGTAACTGATCCATCCCACGTCACTTCACCAATTCACGAGAGTAAAGAAACACACGCAGAGACTTAACTGTACAATTTTTACCAAGTCCCTTGCTTGCTCAGACCCATCACAACCTACGTCAGTGGGAGTCATCTCCCCTTACCCCACATTTTCATCTCAGGCACTGACGTGTCTTTGTTTCCTTATTCCAACATGGGTCAGTACTGTTTCTTTTATTTTTAATTTTTTTCTGGGGATACAGGATCTTCTCTGCCTCTCTTCCCCCCTTCTCAGTCTCTCCTTTAAACTCTCTTTGCCCTAGGCTGACCACACTCCTTCATTCTCAAGAACACGCAGCTTATCTGTTTTCCATGTTTAAGGCAGCCAAAGGCTTTTAAAGATAATAAAAATCTCTCCACTGCAATTTTGAGCTGCAAAGAATTTGCTAGATTTGCTGGCATAAAGAGTTACAGGAATGTTCTCCTAGTACTTGTGGTCTGGAATCTTTGGAGGGTCAGGGATCTACCAGAAACACAGACATGTGAAAATAATTATAATATAGCAGGGGGGGCGTGGATGCTGTTTCCGGGGTGAGGAGGGGAGGCATCAAATAATTTTTGCTGAAGAGGTAACAGTTGAGTCTTGAATGATGGTCGGGTAGGAGTTTAGCAACAGCCAAGAGTGGGAACGAGGGTCCGAGATCAAGGCAGGGGGTAACACACTGCGCAAAGAAAGAAAGAGTGAAAGAGGATGCCATTTTGAATGTAGATGGCTTAGCTCTTACTCACAGGTGGGCAAGGCTGACTTAGGTGGTTTGGCTGTCTGGACAGGTGCCCCCTCCTTCACTGCATTGTTCTACAGTCCACGTGTGTCCTTCCTGAAGTTGCTCCCTTCTTAACTCTCAGGAAATCAAGCATACACTGTTAAGACTAACAAAATAAGCATGCTTTGCTGTCTAGCATATAGGGGGCAAGATCTTAGCATAACATGTGTGCTTGAAGACAGCCAGAAGTGGAAGAGACAGAGGACAGCTGGGAATGACTCTTGAAGGATCTGTAGGTCCAGGAGGGAATGGCTCTTGAAGGATCCATAGGTCCAGGTCACGAGGAGGCCTTGCATGCTGCTCCAAGAAACTGGACTTGCCTGCATAGGCAGAGGGTGACTGTTGAGGAGTCATGCAGTTAGAGCACATGGAAGGTAGAGAAGATAAAGAAAGGTGAGGCAAGGAGACTAGAATAGGAGCTGACTGCGAGTTCTGATGTGAAATGGAGATACAGATACTGATAGAGTAGCAGTGAGGCTGGGATGCTGGGGAGGATCTGAGAGAATGTTAGCAGGAATTGTTGTGCTCAGTTGAATATGATGGGGCAGGAGAAAGTCAAGCACAATCCCAGATTTCTGACTTGAGTGATGACAGGTGGCATTAGCCGAGATAAGGAATTCAGAAAGAGGGGCAGTTTTGGGGAAGACCATCAGTCCTATCTGGAATCTACTGCTTTTCAGAGGTGGAGAGGACCAGACGCAGTTAGATATATTGGTCTTAAGCTCAATTGCAACTCAATGCAGATGAAAGGGCAAAGAAGGAGTGACTAAATACTCTGGGAAGAGACTCTTAAGGGGGCATTCAGTTCAGTTAGTAACAAATATTTTACAAGGTTACTTTGTTAGGCACCGCAGGACAGGCAAAGAAAAGTCTCAAACAAAGAACCCTACTTTGTTTTAACTACAGCTGTGGACTCAGGTTAAACTTGTATGAAAAGTGTTTCCAATAATTATTGCTTAGGTAAGTTGTAAAATTTTGGTCTATAAGTTTATGTCTGTTTTCCTGGCTTTCTCTGAGGTTTGACCTACAAATAAGAACTTCCCTATTTCTCTCTCGCTCTCTCTGAAATTAATCATGAGGTTAAACCAGATTCTAGGAGATGATATATACATGACAGTTGATTCACCTGTTCTTTAGTTTCGGTCCTGCCTTATGCTTAAACATAATATGGTTGGTTATAGCAGTCCAAAAAAAATGGAAGGTACACCTTTATGGAAATTCCCAATCTTAGGAACTAAAAAAGGAGAGAAAATAGAGAAAAGTTTACTTACTTTTTAGAGTAAAAATCCCTTTTGAAAGATATTTTTCTGTATGTCGGTGAACTATTTTTAGACATACACACTCATACTTAACTACAATCACTCAATTAACTGCTAAACCTTATGAAGGAAGTAGTATTTGAAAAACATTTAAAATATTTAAGAGGATATTTAAATAAATACTTAAGAAACAGTCTATGAACTTGCATGAAGAACTCTACAAGTACAATACTTTCCTTCGGAAATTAAACTTTGAAATAAAAGATAGCATTTTAAAATGTGACTTGTATATGCCTGCCCAAAGTCCTGATAGGTATTTTATATCATAAAGAATTGGGAAACAGTAACTAAAGGCAAATAATAGTGCCTTGTTTCACCAGGAATTTGCATATTGTGCTAATATTAATGTAATCTCTTAGAAAATTCTCATCTAAAGTGTGAGGTTTCTTATTAAAAAAAATTTCATGGGTTCATGTAGAAAATTTTTCATGGGTCTCTTTATTTAAACATTTTAAGTTCAATTCCTCTTCAGTTATATCTTAGCCAGTGGAATACAGATAATGCATTTTGTTCTTCTTTCCCCAGAAACTGAAGTGTTTACTCTTATGGACTCAGAGGGGCTTTTCAAGTTACTTCAATTTTTACAGCTCTTTTCATATCCCATGTGTGGATTTACTGTGAAGACTTATGAATGATGGAACTCCAGCAGCCTCACCATGGCCTTACTTTGGCTTTGGTAAGTATAGAAAACCTTTGGCAATGTGGTTGAGACCTAAGTTTTAACACTTAGGCAAAACTTTTTAGCAGGAGCCAGAATATGAATAAATATGAAGGAGGCACTTGAATGCAAAACACACTTTACAAATTCATAGCAAATTTGAGAGCATTTTCAATTAAGTATATATGACTGCGGGTTGTCTCCCTTGAACAAATTAGTTCTCGTTTGTAAGGGTTATATCTTTTAAAGTATCGATCAAATCAGTGCTCAAGGTAGAACTGTAAGTAAAGTTACAATCCTAAAACCTTTTGGGCAATGGTTCTAATTAATATAACTAATATTTTAGCAAAATATCCTGGGTTGTAATTGAAAGAAATCATCTGGGTCTGAAGAATACCTACTGAGGGCAGCCCTATTAAGATTCATTCTGAGACGGGTTAAATTAATTTCCTGGACTTGCAAAGCAGAAACGGGAAGGTTTTCCTTCCTCATAAGCCTGCAGGGTTTGGTGTTTGGCCCTGTCGAGACCCAAAGGCTATCTAGGCTGATTAACATATATATAATTAAAGTGCACCAGCTAGAAAGGCAGAGCCAGTTTCATTTGGCTCTGTACTACTGTGAAATAAATTGTCTGCATTGTTTAACTTTTTTTTTTTAATTAGTTTTCCCTGGACGTCATCCTGCTGCCTTCTTTAGGAATATTGCTTCCTATCCTAAGCAGGGACTAGAGTAGAGAAGCTTTCTCCAGCATTCAAACTAGATTTTCTTTCCATTCATATCGCCACTTTTCATAACATGGTAAGAAACACTGTAAATAATTGAGGTGATCCATCAAGAGACCCATTCTGGATAATGAAAAATTGCATAACTCAGTAAAAGTCAATTAAAAACCACAAACTCCAGAGCCTTTTGCTCAGTGAAGATTTATTGTTATAGAAGGCAACTAATACAATAGATTTGTGGGCTCGAAATTTTAAAAAGTTCTAAAAAGGCAGTTAAAGCTTGACAATAAACTTGAGTAAGGTTTACACAATATCAAAGTATATTAGTTCTTTGAAATGAAAAGGTATTTTTTTTCTTCCTTTAACATTGAGATGTCTGAGATGTCAGGATTTTGTAGCATTCTTAGAAACAACATCCACTGTGTGGGATACTTTTTTTCCTTCTGGAGTTTTAAACCAGTCTGACTCTTTGGTTGTGCCTATACAATGAAAAGTCTACAAATGAAATGAGAGAAGTCAGGATATTTTCCTTTGTTAAACTAAGTAGCTGAATAATTAGAACTACCTAGATAAAAGACTCAAAATGTTTTTGTTATCTGGTTGCCTGGTTAGGACATAGCCAACATTTCAATGGAATGTAGTATCTTGTACAACTGCATATAATTTTTTAAAAAATAAACAATGACTTTGTTTCTTTAGATACATCAAATGCTGCTTGAGTGGCCAAAGGGAAAATGCCAACTCTTTGAAATGTAGTATCTGTAGCACTTTTCTTCTTTCAGTAGTTTTTCATGCCCCAAATACAAACTTTAAGGAGTAACATCTATCCTCAAAACCCAAAAATACCCATTTGTTTTGAGGTTCACAGTCCACCAGTATAAGTTTTAAACTGCGCCAAAAGGCTTAGGTAGGGTTCAGCAGTCAGGCATGACAGATGCATAATTCTAACCAACAGTGCACATGTGACATGCTTCCTACTGAAATTAAACTGCCAAATAAAAAGGAAGGATTGTGCCCTTTTTAATAACAAAGAATGCAGTCGTTAGAATTCTTCAGATTTGGAATTCCAGCAGCACTCTAGTGTTTTCTTCTTGATGTGTGACAAGAATGAATAATATCAAAAATAAAAATAAACCTCATCTAAACAAGCAGTTCTTTGACTTTATAACGTTCAACATCAAATTCTCAAAATACTCAAGACCAGTAAATTATCAGAGCTGAGGAAATAACATGCTGAGGACAGAATCAATTTTTAAACATTTTGATTGATTTTAACCTGCTAGCATTAGTTTTGTTCATTTCTGTTTAGACATTGCCACTTCAACTGACTACTAGGGACCATGGTATTTCATATTCATATAAATATCTGAATTTGACCTCATAAGAAGTCCCTTGGGTCTATAATACTTTTATTCTTGTATAATCTGAAACAAATCCTTTCCTTTTAAAAATCAAACAGACCACGTTATACACACAGTTGACTATTTACAAAGCACCCAATTAAATCCTACTTAATTCTTTCACTCTAAAAATTCCATCTAACTTGTGTGTAAAGTACCCATAACATTAAATGCATAATGTTCACAAACCCTGATAGTCCTATCTAACCTAGAAAATATTACCTTCCTTAAGGAGAAAAAAGAGCCTTAAAAGAAAAATAAGAGTAAGGTTTTAAAGAAATGAGACCAGAAATCACAGTACAAGACAGAGAAATCTACTTTAATATTCACATGTAAAAGTTACACATCACAAGAGATTGGACAGTAGCTTAGCGTAACATAGCTATAGTGAAAATCATTTTTATAAAAAAATAATCTAGATGCGGTCATCAGAATTTTTGGTCTGCTTAAGTTAATGTTTGAAGATCGACTTTTATCCCTGCTTGAAGGATTTGCCATTATGCCTTTTTTTTCTCCCACTGTTGCCTATTAATTCTTTGGAGGAAGGAAAGCAGAAAGTGTTCATTTCCAAGAGTTTGTCCTTTGGTAGCAAGCAGAGAACATTTTTTTCATTTCCATGATTTAAATAATCTGTACAGACATGAAACTTAGTGACATTAAGCTTTAGTGTAAAATGAAGAGTAATAAGCAATTTTTTTTCACTTTGATAAAACAGCAGATTTCGTAAACTCCTTAAGGATCCAAGCATTTCCTCATCCCATATGCAAAATCATTCAGAATCCATTTTGACCTCAGTTGAAAAACAAAAACAAACACTTACTCTGTATATATTACACTATAAAACCCTGTACTTAAAAACTGATAAGGTGTATTTTCAACATGTATGCTTCAAATACAAAGATTTCAATCTACATTTAAAAAAACACATTTGAATGGACTCAGAACAAGTTTAATTTGTGATTAAACATCTCATGCAATCATGCAAGACCACTAGCTATAACTGTTACTTCCGAGTCTATACTGGGCAAAACAAAAGCAAATTAAGAGCCAGGCCAAACAGAAAAGACATTCAAGATATCAAGAGCTCTGTAATTGAGCTGAAAAATGATTTTCCAAAAGAAATATTCCCATAGATTAAAAAAAAACACACACATAATATTTACAAAAAAATATTTAATTAAAAATATCTTATAATTACAGTATCTATTAAAGCATATACTTTCTCACACTTATAGAACATCTCTATATATACATGGTATGAAATGTCACTCATTTATCTATACAATATGTAACATTCTTGCAGAGAAAAGAAAGTTCTCTGCCCCGTTATAATCATCTATTTTAAACAATAGATGTAAAAAAAAAATATCTACAATGCTCTGGTAGATTAGTAAAGCTTCAAAACAAAAATTGAGCTCCTTGGTCACAAAGTAGGCTTCTAAAGTCGGATCTACTCTTGATCTTCTATTTATCAGTCCTGTCACACTTAAGCTTAAAAGTTTAACTGCACCTCCAAAAAACACAGAAATGTACAATTCACAGCAGTTATAAATGAAGAGACAAAAGAGAATACGTATGTAGAATGTTTATGAACGTGCAAAGAAAGAATGAAAGTTGTATTTTTCTTTCCTCTCTCTCTCTTGGAATGACGAATGAAAACGTTTCTAGGTTGGCCGATGTTTTTTCCTTTCCTCCGGTGGCTTTTTTTCTCTAACTTCTGCTCTTCCCCCTCCCTCTCTAGTGCTCCTGGCTCGGGCTCAGGCGGCCGCACACCTGTGGAAGAGGAATGAATAGAGGGGGTGTGTGAACCTTCTCGCTGCAGACTAACTGGCGCCACCGACCAAACTCAAGACATGCTTGATCAACAACCCAAAACAAACCACCAGGTCAGACAACACCCGCCCGCGGCCGGGCCAGGCGCCGAGCAGGCAGCTGCGGCCCTCGGGAAGCCCGGAGAGGGGACCCACTCCGGCGCCCTGCCCGCGTCCCCCTTTGTGGGTGACAGACTGCACGGGAGGACACCGGGGCAGCTCCCATGCCCACGAGGGTGCCCTCCCTCGGGAACTAGGGAAGGCAGAAGAGCCCGCTGACCACCAGAAAAAACACGGGGACGGCGGGGACAAGGGCTGACCCGTCTCCACCGAGACTGAACCTCGAGTTCTAAGGCTAAGTACGGGTTTACTTGCTACTTAGGTGGCAGGGAGAGAGGGGATTTACTTCCTTGGGAGTTTGCTCTCAGAAACGCTGGGGGCAAAGAACACCGCGGTGCCTGGCCCCGGAAGCCCTCGGGGACGGGCGTCTCTGGTGACCGGCCACCCGAGACGGGAAATGCGCGCTCACCTGGACAGCGCGGCTCAGCGGCACAGAATGCTGTCGCCCTGCTTGTTCACCGCGCCGGCCTGGAACAGCAACCGAACACCAAGGGAAAGGTTAGCAGGCGCAAACAACGCGCTCGACACGGTCCTGGATTGTCCTCGGAAATCAGGCTGGCGCGCCGACGCCCCCACCCCAGCCTGTAGCCGGGGGGGCCCCTCCGGGCTCAGGCGGGACTTGACAGCCCAGGGCGCCCACAGCCCCGAGTCCCGCCCTGCGCGTTCTCCCGGACCCGCGCTCGCCGAGCCCGGCCGGCTGCTGGCGGCCCGGGGGAGCCCGGAGGAGCAGGGGGAGGGGGCTGTCATTCCTGGCCCGCCCCTGCCCGGAGGACGGTGAGCGCCCGCGTCCCGCCACCACGCCACCAACCTCCCATCCCCCGCGGCGTCCGCCCACGGCCGGCGCCCGGCCTCTCACCGGGTCGGTGTTGAGCGCAGTGAGCGGGGTCCGCGGCGGCGCGGCTGGACAGGTCCCGGCCGGGTGGTGTGGCGGCGCGGGCGGTGGTGGCTGCCTCAGCAGGGCCGGGTGCGTCTCCAGCGCCAGCTGCAGGTCCAGGATGTAGTCGATAACGTGCTGCAGGATCTCCACTTTGCTGACTTTCTTGTTGGGCGGGATGGTGGGCACCAGCCTCCGCAGGCGGCTATAGCAGTCGTTCATATCGCACTGCAGGCACAGCGCCGGCTCGTCGGCCGCCGCCTCGGCCGCCTTACAGCGCGCTGCCGCCGCCGCCGCCGCCGCGGCTGCGGAGCCACCCAGGCTGTGGCCGTGCTCGGCCAGGCAGCGCAGCGCCAGCTCCCCGCCGCCGCAGCCCGACGGCGCCTTGCGGCCCGAGGGGCGCACCGGGCTCACCGCCTTCATCGCGCGCGCCCTGCGCTCTACGCGAGCGAACCCGCTGGGGCGAGCGAGGGAGGCAGGCAAGCTCCGGGCCCCGTCCGCGGCCGGCTCCGCTCCCTTTGCCTCCGCGCCCGGCGCGCTCGGGGCACCGCGACACTCCCGAGCCCAACAATTGACGGGAGGGTCGCTCTGGGTTTTACGAGGGAATCTTTGCTCAGTGGGCGACACTCAGCCCGAGCCCAAAGGAAAAAAAAAGCAAAAGCACCGGAAGAAAAGTAGCCCACCCGGGTGTCCTAGTCACTCCCTTCGGAGCTCCGACTAAGCCCGATCGCGGCCGCCGCGCTCCCCTAGCCCGGGATCACCCCACTCCCGGTACTACTCACAACCGCGCCTCCTCCACTACGCTCTCGCCCGGCCCGCCGCGCAGCTGTATTTATAGAGCCGTGCGCCCCGGGGGCGGGACCAGCGCGCGGGCCGGGTCGCAGCGCGAGCCGAGCGGAGCCCGCTGGGCGCGCGGGCGGGGGCGCGGAGGGAGAGGCGAGGGCGGGGGCTCCGGGCGGTGCTGGGGGGCGGGGAGTCCGGCTACCCGAGTGGAGGAGTGGGCGGGGGGTCTGGAGTGGCCAGCCAATCAGGCGGGCAGTGCCACCTCGGGGAATGACGCTCGGGCCAATGGGAAGGGCACTCCATTCCGTCAACGCTGTGGGTCGGGGTTCTGAGAAAAGAGAGCTGAGTGGGAGTCGGGCCAGGCTGATGTGTGCCCAAGGGAGGGGAAAAGAGAGAGCGAAGTTCCTGCGAAGAACTGCGGGAATGTGCGGCCGGAATTCACTCTCCACCGCCCCCCTTATCCCGACTAGGCTGCTGAGGGAGCGCCTGGGCCCTGCTCGCGGATACCCTGCCACTCCTAATAGCACGGCGCCCAGGGACCCTCCGCCACCCATCACTCCATCCGTGGGATTCCAGTGCCTTAAGAAAGACGCGCTGTTCAAGAAGGCACGTTCATTCTGTTCTATATTTCCCTCCTCCGTTTCATTATTCGCCTTTTCACATTTGCCGAAACCATAATGATGGAATGGAATGTGTAGCCTTTCCGTTTTCTTTTTAAAAAATGCTAAAGCTTAGCAAAAGTAGAAAAAAAAAGAAGGAAAAGAATGCCGAATCGAATGCAGGTTTTTGGTGAAGGGAATATAAATAAAACAAAAACGTGGGGGGGGTTCTTTTACCCCATCTAAATGCAAAAGTGGGCTCAAGAAATGCAGTTGCCTTGCGCATTCAATTAGAGCACGTAAAGATTAAAAATGCATGGACACGGAATATTTAAAATTCCATTATGACATATAATATTAATCTGTTTTATGTAAAATTCATACCTGTAACTTAATTTAGGCCATTAATGCACAGCTTCACGTATTAGTCAGCGTACCCCGCTTTAAATAAGGTGATGAGAATGTCCAGAGTCGCCTCCTTTGACAGCAAAGCATTAAAATTCACACTTCCAGTCTCTGGGATCCCGCTTGGGCCCCACCCTGCAAAAAAAAGCCTGTTAATTAAGGGCGTTTTTGTGTTAGATTTCTTAGAGAAAAGCTGTCCTTCAAGGGTTCAAAATAAAATTGCACAATGAGCTTTGGTGGAGCATTGTGTGTACCCTTCAAGAAAAAATTGAGCCCTTCAGATGAGAAAGGTGCATAAAAATTCTCAGACAATGGGGAAATGAATTTTGAGTGCCTTCACTCTACAAACCCTCCCACCTTTAGACACGCTTGGAGATGAATTAACCCAAGAATTTTCTTCATTCGTGTACATGACATGGATTGGTGTCTTCATTTTCATAGATAATTGAAAGAAAGAGACATGGACCTCATTTCTTCCTGTCTACCCCTATATGGACTTTTTCTACATCCATTCCCAGAACTGAAATACCTGCACCAGGCAGATATTTTGTTTAGCTATGTCAGTGCTTTATGACTATCGCACTATTCCCCAGAGCACATTCCTTTCTCCTGATGAAATGAGGAGCAACTATTTAATTCTGGTTTCACAGGTAGATGCAATAACCCTCCTCTCCCCTAATCCTTGTATGTTACTGCTTCTAATAATTGTTTGGAAACAAGTGCCATTCTCATTTATTTATGTGCATACGTAGATGGTCTACATACACATTAATCGAGAAAATCAGAATTATGAAACTCAGAAGGGCTTTCTTCTAAAGACAGGCATAGTCATATACATCATTAAATTAATGCAAATACAGAGAAAATGTTGTAATTTTAAATGGGAAGTCGGTGAAGCCAGCACTACTGGTTGTAAGCTATTATCTTGGAGCCAGTCATATGAGCACAGACGATAATAATAAATGGATATATGTACAGATGTTTTGTTCCATTGATCTTTCTCTTTCCTAGAGTTTAAAATTTGCTTCCAAATTCAAAACCCAAGACTTTCCTCTGTTTGGCAAAATAAAACTATGCTAATATGCCCAGGACACACTTACATTTAAACATTTTACATATCCTAACGATTAAAATTAAAATTTAAGTTTTGAATACGTAACACAAAGGAAGAATCATATCGACCTTTTTGGAATTTGCTAAATCTCAGAAAGCCATGCCTTGGGTGTGACAAGCGCCAAATGCCTAAGTTTCAGGTTTTGTTGGAGATGCTCTGTGTGACTGGCTTAAAGTTAGAAAGACTGAGTTACTCTGTGTGGGGTGGGGTGGAAGAGGTGGTTTCAAAGGAATGTACCTCAGCCACAAGATCAAGAATACCCAGGAAAGATGTGATCCGTAAATCCTGCTAGCAGAGTAGGCAGAGGCAGTTACTGTGCTCCTTGTTTTGAAGGTTGGAAGGCATGAAGACATTAAAAAATTAAAGTGCTACCATATACTATGGGAATAAGGAATACAATCCTGCACGTTTTGGTCCATGAAACCAGAGAGTACTAGGGGCTATGCAATGTATGTTTTTGTATTCTTAGACATAGACACTTACATGACATCAAAGCTGCAATCATGGAAGATTCCTGGCACTGATAATTCAAAACAGTTTACCCAATTATCACTCAGATTTTGGATAAACCTTACAAGCTATGTTATTTCTACTGTGCAGAGAAGGTAACTTAGTCTGTTGGTGACTCTTTTACATCAAAGTGTTTCACTTGCACTTGTAAAAGTAAAATGGGCTAACCCAAATCCTTTTGTCATGGAAATGCTCGAGACTCCCAAAATATACCTCAGTAGGAACCTAGAATGAAACATTCATAGGAGAATTGCTAGAAAGCCGTGATGACCAGAGTCATGGATACACCCTTCCTCCAGACAAAGAGGTCTGCTGTCCTCCCTGAGATGTATTCTAGCTACTAAATCAGGCCCTCACTGAACTGCAACACCCAGGCCTTTAGAAGTCATAGTCACCCTGTGTTTACATGAAGCAAGGGTATGGAAGCATATTGTGCTCTTCATTCCCAGTGCCTTTTTAGGACTTGATACTTGTTTCTCCATAGCCTCCAGGGAAACAGTGAGTGTACTCATACACAGATAAACGTGAATGTTCCAATGCCTTGGTCACTCTGTAGATTTGTCGTCACAGAAAGAGGCACATGCATTCTTTGAGGGCATAAGAAACCACTATGTACTCTGCAGCAGGACTGTCCCTTGCTCCCAAAGAGTAAGTTGGGCAATGTGGCAATTCAAGCTCAAGGCTGCTTTATCAGGCACTAAGTGTTACAAAATTACTTGTGCTACCCTTGGATTGCTGATACTAGTCCCGGAAATGCTGATAACCCCTTAGTTTGCTAGGTCCTGGAAAAGGCTTGTAGGAAGAGGACGTTGTACGTTGAACATGGCTGGGCAGATGTGGCTGTCAAAAATGCCTTGTTTGGGGAGTTTTAAAGGTAGTTGGTTTAAATAAGAAGTGACTTTTTGAAAGCCCCCCTTAGATTAAAAGACAGAAAAATGGGGAGAAATAAGTGGAATTTGTTTTTACCTTAGGAGATATAAACAGCATGGACTCTGAAGTGAGACAGCCTAAGCCCCAATTTTGGCCTCTTTGCTTATTAGTTTTATATCATTCAGCTGGGTTCTTAAATTCCTATACCTTTCATATTTGGAATGATTAAAATTGCATTTACTTCATAAGGTGTTTATGAGATACACATATTATATATATGGTCTCTGTAAAAGAAATTCAGTAAAGTTCTTAGAACAGTGGTTGGCACATAAGTGGGCAAACCATGTTACAATGTATTACCATTTTTGGCAAATATCTCTCAGTCTGTGGACTGACTTTTCATTTACTTCACAATCTTCTTTTAGAGCAGAAGTTTTGATTTTTTTTTTTTTTGAGACAGAATTTCACTCTTGTTGCCCAGGCTGGAGTGCAATAGCATGATCTTGTCTCACTGCAACCTCCGCCTTCCAGGTTCAAGCAATTCTCCTGCCTCAGCCTCCCAAGTAGCTGGGATTACAGGCGCCCACCACCACACCTGGCTAGTTATGTATTTTTAGTAGATATGGTGTTTCACCATGTTGTTCAGTCTGGTCTTGAACTCCTGACCTCAGGTGATCTGCCCACCTTGGCCTCCCAAAGTGCTGGGATTACAGGTGTGAGCCACCATGCCCACCCTAAATTTTGTTGGTGTCTAGTTTATCAGTTTGTTCCTTTATGGCTCATATTTTTGATATTGGATCTATCTAAGAAATCTTTCATAGCTCAGGTAACAAAGGTTTTCTCATAGGTTTTCTTCTAGAATTTTTATATTTCTTAGGTAGGGTTGCTTGCATGGTGTGTAGCTTATGCAGTCACACAGGGTCCTGCACTCAGAAGAGCTGTATGCTTGGGTTAGTGCTCTTGCCTTCTTGAAATTCTTAGTAATTTTTGAACAAGGGAACCTGCATTTTCATTTTGCATTAGGACCCACAAATTATGTCTCCAGTCTTTGTTTTCTGTTTTATGTGTAGGTCTATGATCCATTTTGAGGTTATTTTTGTATGTGGTGCAAGATATGGGTTGAAATTAATATTTTGCATTTGTAGATCCAATTGTTTCAGCACTCTGTCGAAAAGTCTACCTGTTTTCCAAAGAATTGCCTTTGCACCTTTGTTAAAAATTAATTGTGTATGGTGTGTATGTGTCACTCTGTTTCTGGCTGCTACCACATTTTCTTGATTACTATAGCTTTATAATAAGGCTTGAAATCAGATAGTGTTGAGGCATTGATCCTCCAGCTCTGTTCTTTTTCAAAGCTGTTTTGGCTATTCTGGGGATATTGCATTTCCATATGAATTTTAGAATCAGTTTGTGAATTTCTTCAAAAAGGACTTGTATCCAAACATATAAAGAACCTGTACTCAGAATACTGTATATAAAGAGCTTTCAACACAATAATAAGAAAATAAACAACTTAATTAAAAAGTAGGCAAAAGAACATACAATCCAATAAAGAAGAAATAGGCCAGGTGCCATGGCTCACCCCTATAATCCCAGCATTCTGGAAGGCTGAGGCAAGGCGAATTGCTTGAGCCTAGAAGTTCGAGACCAGACTGGGGAACATGGTGCAACCCTGTCTCTACAAAAAATACAAAAAATTAGCTGAGCATGGTGGTGCACGCCTGTAGTCCCAGCTACTGGGGGGGCGGGGTGGGTGAGGTGGTGGTGGTGGTGCTGAGGTGGGAGAATCGCTTGATCCTGGGTGGGTAGTTGAGGCTGCAGTGAACTGAGATCGCACCGCTGCACTCCAGCCTGAACAGTAGAGTGAGACCCTGTCTCAAAAAAAAAAAAAAAAAAAAAAGAGGAAGAAATAAAAATGGCAAATGAGCACATGGAAGATACTAAACATCATTAGTCATTTGGGACATACAAATCCAAACTATAATGATACACCATTACACACCTGCCAGAACTGCCAAAATTAAAGACGGAACATACTGAGTGCTGGTATATGGAGCAACTGGAACTATCGTACACTGCTGGTGGGAATGTAAAATGAGGAAAATTACTTTGGAAAACAATTTGACAGTTTCTTAAAGTTAAACATATAGATACCATATGGCCCATCTGTTCTTCTCCTAGGTATTTACCCAAGAGAAATGAAACCTTCTATCCAAGGGCCACAATGGAGCCTGAGAATGATGAATGTGTTTATTATCTTACTAACTCTGTATCATATTGTTGTCAGCTAGGTATCACAGCATGAACTGAACGGTAGTGAAATACCCTCCAAAGCAGTCATGAGACTAATTTAATATTTCAGCTATTGTGGTTACTCATTAACATATTTCATCACTTGTTGGAAATGGACTACACTAAAAAACACATTCACTCTTTCTTGGTTTGTATGGCATGACATGGATTTAAGGCTTCAAGGAGGACCCTATCTAATTATTTGAAATGTTTCTCCCTTTTGCAAAAACTAAAGCCATGTTCTGTACTCTTGCTTCTCTGCTTCACTCCTGTTGCAGCCTCTGCTGCCTTGGTACAAACACCCACTGGGTGGGGAAGATAAGAAGCCTCATTATTCCATATTGAAGATGGTCTACTGTTTTCTTTTCCTCTCCACTTTTTTCTTAGCAAGAAAAGAAAAGAGGCTCTCAAGATTAGATATATCCCACTGCTATTTCCAGAGCAAGGAGCAAAGATTCCCAATGGGTAACATATTTTTGCCTTTAAAATTCTGTGGTTCAATCCGTGCAAGCACAGCTTCTCCATCTAGCAAGAGGTTCACAGGGATGGAATGAAGATTAACTGCTTTTGAAAGCCCCAGGAGAAAGGCAGTAAATGAATGATAGGGGGTAATACACCAGAATCTAGTGAATACTAGATACTGAATGTCCACTGATGGCTATACCATTGTTGAAAGGGGGCTTGTAATAGGTAAAATGGTTATGAAGATGCCAAATAGATCAAATTGGTGCTTTAACTCATAATTATAGTTTAGTAGAGAAATGCGAGACAAGAATTATTATTATTCCTTAAAATTCATTCCCATAGTGATATGCATTTGTCTGCTACATTCTTTCTTTCAGCAGATAATACCACAAGTGAAGTCATAAATAAAAGCTATTCTACTCATAGCAGAAATTATTTCTAGATTCACATTAATGAAAAAGTTTTAATTTTATTTTTCTTTCTTTTAAGGTGAATGCAAAATAATTCCAAAATATAGAAAAAGCGTTATTAAATGTATTTTAATTACTTAGAGAAAAGACACTAAATAAACAGTAAATTGCTTTGCATCTTCAAACTGAATACTGAATGTGGGTCCATCACAGTAAATCAGCCTTCACTGAGAGAAAAGACTTTCCCATTTTATTGACATCTAGGTCATGGTTGCTAAGAACTGATACAATGTTCAAGAAACAGCTGCCTTTTTTCTCCCACAAAGAGGAATTTCTGAGTCATTTTTGTAGCTCCCTACACAGTTGTCATCAGTTGTTGGATAGGCTGTGATGTCAGTGACCTTCGTACCAGTAGTGGAAAGTGACTGTGTGTAAAGTTGATGAACAGTATAAAAAGTCGTATGTGAAATAATTGAACTAGTACATTTTTTCTACTATCATAACATGTGCAACAAAGCACTAAAGGAATGTTAAAAATCACAATTAAAGGAAAAAGAACTGGGTTAACTTTGAACTTTATCAACATTGGCAATTCTATATTAAAAGCCTCCAGTTTAAACAAAATCATCTCTTTGCAGGGGATTACAGGTATAACTATTTTCCCTTGAATAGAATTAAATCAAAAGTATAATCTTAAAAGACTAAAAGCCTTAATGAAATATATTTTCAAATATAACTGTTCAATAGAAAAATCTAAAAGTTTGGTCAAGCTGTAGACAATACTTGGTCTGATAAAACCATACTTACCATTTTAAAAATATTTTGTTCATTAGGTCAACATTAAAATACGAATCTGTTTATATTATGTTCTAAAAATAAGCAAAATATATGCTATCAGGCAAAATAAGACAATTACTGTGACAACATTGCAAAAAATGCAACATATATTGTCATCAAGGCTTGTGGCATAGGATTGAAATTGTATCATATGAAAGTAACTTGTCGAATATATTTTTAACATTGATCTTCAACCCACTGTTCAGTCTTTATCAGGAATCTACAAACTGTAATAAATAAAATAAGTGTACCCTTTGGCAGATTGTTAAATGGATCATTTTTGGCACCTTCCAACATTGTCCATTAGCAGCCTTTCCAGAACTGCCAACTCCCAACTCTGGAGAACACGGTTGAAAAATGGTAATACATTTTTAATCCAGCTTCTAGAAGAACCATCCTCCTATACCAATGAGGTATATGCTTAACACCTCTATATTATGAATTCTAGCAACCCTATCTCTTCAGCCCCACTTTTCAGGCTCTCTGCTAACCAATCTTCTCCAAAATGGTTTCAGTTCAATTAAAGTCAATTCAAGCCAATTCCACACAAACATGTATGGTACATTTACTATATGACAAGACTGTGTTCAAGAAAAATAAGTCCTTTACCCTCATGGAACTTGTTACTTAGAAAATGGCTTAAACAAATTAAAAATCAGTTGATGCAATACAGTGTGTTCTGTTCAACAATACTGGCATGCAGAGGGCACAGTGGGGACAAAAACCAAAGCCTGAGTCAAAGGAAATTTAATGGAGGAAGAGTTACTGGAGCTTGATTTTGAAAGAGTACTTCATCAGCAGAAGATGTTCCATGGTAGTGAAAACAGCATGTGCAGAAGCTTGGAGGAGTGAAACTGCAAGGTTCTCGCTTGTTCTTTGCTCTGCTTCAGTTTAAACACTCAACTTTCTTTTTTTTTTTTTTTTTTTTTTTTTTTTTTTTTTTTTTTTTGAGACGCAGTCCCACTCTGTCGCCCAGGATGGAGTGCAGTGGCGCGATCTCGGCTCACTGCCAGCTCCGCTTCCCAGGTTCACGCCATTCTCCTGCCTCAGCCTCCCGAGTAGCTGGGACTACAGGCACCTGCCACCACACCCGGCTAATTTTTTTGTACTTTTAGTAGAGACGGGGTTTCACCATGTTAGCCAGGATGGTCTCGATCTCCTGACCTCGTGATCCACCCGCCTCGGCCTCCCAAAGTGCTGGGATTACAGGCTTGAGCCACCGCGCCCAGCCTCAACTTTCGTTTCCTTATATTCAATTAGTATTTTACCTTATCTCAGGACACTCTATCTAAAACACTTTCCACTCTCTCTTCTTCCAAACCACAGTCATCAACTCTTGAAAAACAACATTGTAGGATTTAGTGACGCATGGTTCTTCATTCAGGAAGCCATCTATCATTAACTCTCTGGCAATGCTTATTTTAAAATAACTTTAATGATTTTCTGTCTTTTAATTATTTATTTTCTATTTATTTATGTATTTCTATTTTCTTTTTCATAGACAAATTGTAAAAATGTCAAAAAACATAAAGATAAAAATATCAGCAAAACCTAAAGATGAAAATAAAAGTAATCCACAAATCCACACCAAAAATAACCTCTGTAACTATTTTATTGTGCATATTTCCAGATTTTCTTCATGTATGTATTATGCATGTAAATATTATTTATTGAACAAAAATTATAGTGTGTATTTCTTTTTTTGGACATCAAATTTTTCACTTTGCATAATGTAGAGATATTTCCAGAGCAATAGTTACTTTTCATTGTCATACTTTTTATGGTTACATAATATTCTATTACATAGACGTGCCATAACTTATTTAACAAATTTTTAAAATAAATATTTTAGTTGTTTTCATTTTTTTTGCTGTGTACTCTTACATGTCTGATGTGCTTATTTTATCTCAATGTTGCAGGACAATGTGCATTTGTTGACATAATACTAGACAATTCTTTTCAAGCTATGTCAGGATTGTGTGTTTCAGATCTTTGATTAGAGCAAAGCATCTTAGAGGCAAGGCCATTTCTTTCTTATGTTTTTACAGGTCAGTAAAGAGAATTATTCATATAACAAGGCTGTCCAGGTGGGTTGGCACAATCTACTAGGATGACATCCCAATATACAGTTGTTTAGAGATGACCTGCAGATTTTGCGTATGTTCAGAGAGTGGCTGGCCTGTTGACATGGGAAGCAAAAGGGCTGGAGCAGAGTAGTGGTGTATCCATTAGATCAGATGATGTCCCAGGAAGGTTCTAGTACACTTAGCAAAAGGCTTTAGGAGAGCAACTAAAACTTTAAATTATAAATTTGCTAGATATTTTCTCAGGTGAGGAAAGTAGTGGGAAAGAGAGGCTATCGGGGTAGAAAGAAGAGCATGTGGGGGTTCTGCAAGAGCAAGAACAGGAACTGTGATGTTCATGATGAGTCGGATCATGTTAGGACCTCTGCTGCCCCTGTTGGTTCTCTCTCTACTCAGCGTTCTTCGCTAGGCTCAACTTCCTATTCTTTCCTTTCAACTCTTTATTTTCTTGCTCAATCATCTCCTACAACCAGAACATAAATGCGGCTACAAACAATTTGGCAATAGAGTTTATATCTTTCCTGCACACCAGCTAATCACTATATTTACCCTTATTGACCCAAATCTTTTTATTCCCCTAGGTTGGACCAGTTTTCTTTTGAAATCGTGGTAACTGCTAAACTGTAATCTCATGGCAAAAGAGAAACCCTCTGTCCTATTGGTAAAAATGTAAATGAGGCCTAAGTAAATAGAAAAGCAATTTTTATCAAGAAATTTCTTTTTTGATAAAAAGAAGTTTCTTTTTAGAGATTCAGATGCTCATTTAGTTTTTGGAATGGCCAAACACAGAGTTATCTAATTTAAGTAAGTATAAGTGTTCTATTCAACAATATGAGTTTTAAAATGGCTATAATCTCACCAATACATGTTGTTTATTTTGGCAAAATTTGTCTTGGAATAAAAATATTCTTAGAATAAAAATGATTTCTCCTGTTTCCAGTTGGAATATGATTAATGTTTTAACTTGTTGATGAAACAGCAGTTTTATAATCCAGGCAATCAGAAATCTATTATTTAATTTCTGAAAGGACATGAAATGGTGATAGTATCCTGCAGTAGCGTGTTTGCCTAGGCATCAGGCTCCTGGAGCATCTTTGTATCTGTTCTGGTGAGCTGAAGAAGATTGGCTCTAATTTTCTTAAACTGCTGGTTCTACAATATTTATGGCAGGTGTTATAAAGGGGCCTCCTCCTTCCTTCTGACTTGAGTAGCCTAAAAAATAAGTGTTATCTGTCTTATGTCTTGATCAAACTTAGAATTGTTTCAAAAAGTAGAAAGATGTGATGACCATAGTTCTATTTCTACTGTTCTTGTCACTAATTTTGGAGATAATCCTAGATATTAGGGGTGAGTAAACAGGTGAAGCTAGTGTGGTAGCCAGCTCCAAAGACCATTTTTCAACTTGCTAATGGGATGGTACATGGCAGAGAAGGGGAACTGGCTCAGAATCTCCCTGCTATTCTCCTTCCTGTGTCATGAATAAAAATCACACATCTAGAACAATATGACTTCTCTTTGGGCCCATTTAATTTTTATGATTTTACCAATGATTGTAAAACATGCTGAATAAAGGGTATTTTATAGTTGGTGGTGGGTGGAGAAAAAGTAGAATGGATCAGCAATTCAGAAGTATCGAGGCACTAACTAAGCAAATGCCCAAATTTTTCAGATATAACATAGATAAGAAAATACAAGGGATGTGGTCAGGGATCCAGGTATGACATTTAGGAAAGCAAATACAAGGAGGCAAAAATATTAGAGACTGTATTTTGAACCAATGAGCTATGTTAATTACAGTTACTAGAACATGATCTATTTACTAAATACATGGAATTTCCCCTACATTCAGATATTTAAAGTAGAATATTATGATCTGGCTAGGTGATTGAACTGGAAATTATCTAGGTCTCTTACAAACGTATGATTCTGATTCCACAGCCTTCTTACATCACTGTGCTGGCTATTTCTTCTTAATGTGCAACATCCAATTAGCTTTACAATGATAGATTTAGTAAAATGCTTCACTGGACTTCACTTCTGAATACCTAATACCACTTTAGTAAAGGCAGCCAAGAGATAAAGAGGCATCTTGGTGATGAAGGTAGTTGGCCTATATCAATAACACTAATATTTTATTTTGCAAAAGATTTAGCACTTATTTTAAGGCAACGAGTTTGCTATGTGCATGTTTACCATCTAACACAATAATGTCATCTGCAACTTGGGGGATATTGAGTAGCTGTGATCTTAAAACACAAAGTTTGGTTCTAAATGATCAATTTTTATTTCTATAAATCATCAAAGAAAAATAGACCCATTACTCTATAGTTTTATCATACAGATGAATTCTTGTTATCTTCCACAATTTTACCGACTTGCTTTTTTACGGACACTAGAAAGTAGAGTCTGTAAGGTTCTAAAAAGAATTTGCAACAACTTACCTCATATGCAACAGAGCATTGGCAAATTCAATCTTCTAATTAAAGCAGGAAAATAAATAGCTAATTTCCCTATAACTGTGTTACTTAAAGTTTACAATTTAGAGAAGTATATGCATTATTTATTATTTATTGACTATGTATTAAGCACTATGAAATGGCTCTACATATAGATGTAACCTTTAACCTCACAACAATTCTGAAAGATGTTATCTCAAAATGAAAGACTAAAATTAGTTAGCAGTTGCCATCAGTAAAGGTAGGAGAAGAACTTTAAAAGCTGGGTTTGGTGACTCACACCTGTAATCCCAGCACTTTGGGAGGCCAAGGTGGGCTGATTGCTTAAGCCCAGGAGTTTGAAACCAGCCTGGGCAACATGGCAAAACCCTGTCTCTACAAAATATACAAAATTTAGCCGGCCATGTTGGCATGTCTGTATAGTCTCAGCTACTTGGGAGGTTGAAGTGGGAGAATTACCTGAGCCTGGGAGGCCAACCAATATCTATATAGATAGGTATGCATCCACAGTATACTTAGTCTTAGAAGTCTAACCACTAATCATTTAAATACTAGTATTCATGTGCATGCTATACTTTCAAGCTTAATATCAAGCCAGGCATGGTTGGGGAAGAATTTGTCAAAAAATAAATATAAAAACCCCAAGATGAGCAGGGCAAACTGGTTCTCCAAATATAGCCTCTTAGGAGAGAAAGGAGGAGTAGAGTTTACCCAGCCAAGTTTCGCTTTGGAGTACTCCCAATGCAGTGTAACCACCACAGCCGCTTTGGCATTGATGTTGATCAGAGCCAGCAAAGGCGAGGGTGGAGCCCTTCTTCTGACAATGAAAACTCTTCACTGAGTTTGGTGAGAACAACATGAGCTCACTCCCTAAAAGATCTCAAAATTCAACAGAATTATAAATCATGAGAAACATATTCTTAACTCTGGTACTTCATTTTAAGCCGAAGTTACATACAACGTATCTTTTTATGAAACTGAACTATATAACTTCTGTAATTAGCACATTATCTGAAGAAAAAATCAGTTGATCTGGGGAAAATGTGACTAATCCTTTGCAAAATATTCTGGGGAAAAAATAAATAAATAAATAAATAAATAAATAAATAAATAAATAAAACCTCATAGATCCCTGCTCTGAGAAGTAATGAGACCTGAGACCTAATCTGACTGTGGTGCTAGCTCTACCATGGACTGAGTGAGGCTCATTTAATCTTCTCTGCTTCAACTTTGTCCTCAATGCAACGAGAGCATAAAACTGATTGATTTGAGGGCTGGGTGTAGTGGCTCATGCCTGTAATCTCAGCACTTTGGGAGGCCCAGGCAGGCGGATCACCTGAAGTCAGGAGTTCAAGACCAGCCTGGCCAACGTGTCGAAACCTCGTATCTACTAAAAACACAAAAATTAGCCAGGCGTGGTGGCACGCGCCTATAATCCCAGCTACTCGGGAGGCTGAGGCAGAAGAATCGCTTGAACCTGGGAGGCGGAGGTTGCAGTGAGCCGAGATTGTACCACTGCACTCCAGCCTGGGCGACAGAACAAAACTCTGTCTCAAAAGAAAAAGAACTGATTAATTTGTAACTTTCTGCTCAACTCCAGTATTATATGCTTCCAATTAATTAATTAACATGTTCATATGAAATCTTCTTTTTAAACAAATTTAAGTTGAACGGTATTATGATTTGTCTTCCACGGGAATGACAGCCATTCCCTCAAGCAAGTTTTTAAGCAATGGTCAGTAAGATATTGAGAGACATAGGGGAAGAGCCTCTGGCGGCTGTGTTGAGACCATTCTGTGGAACAAAAGAACAGAAGGAAGGAGGAGGCTACTGTAATCATCCAGGCTTTGACCAGGGTGATTCTGCAGAGGTGTTGAGAAGTAACTGAATGTATTTGGAAGGCATGGCCAGTGGGATTTGCCTATGGAGCGAATGTGGGTCATAGAGAAGAGTCAAAAACGATTCTGCAGCATTTGGTCTCAACATCTGGAAGGGTTGACTTTGATATTGACAGAGAATCCTGTGTGAGGAGCAGGTTTGGGGGAAGAAGAGTTTAATTCTGCAAATATTAATTTGAGATGCCTACTAAGCTTAATATGGCAATGTTGAGTAGGTAATTGGACATCTAAGTCTAGTGTTCAGGGGAGGCATATGGGCTGGAGATATACATTTGGGCTGGAGATATGCATTTGGGAGTGATTATCTCTACGTGAATGGAATATGAAATGGTAAGACTGGAGAATGTCTTCTAGGGAGAGAGAGTAGTTAGAGAGGGGGTCCCAGAGCCAAGTTCTGCATCCCTTCAACGTTCCGAGGTTGCGGAGAAGAGGAGGCAGAAAGTCAGCATGAGAAGAGTGGCCAGTGAGAAAGAGAAGAGAAGGAAAGAAATGGTTTCAAGGAGCAGGGAGTTCCTCAGCCAGGTCAAATGCTGTTAACATGACACAGCCTGGAAGAAACCTCACAAGCAAGGGAGGAGCCCATTAAAATGGGAGGTGCCTTATCTACATCATCTTGTGCGTCGGGACAGCAAGCACAGGAAAGAAAGACGACTTTTAAATTTGCTATATTCAGAATGTAGATAGGAGCATATCAATTTGTGTAAAAATATTATCACCTGTTTCTAAATTCAGTCTGCTAAGATACCATCTAGTAATTTCTTTCAAGAAAAAATGCTTTTCTGTGTTTTCATACTGTTGATACAGCCACCCAAAGTGCCTACTTTCCAAGTGGAAGAATGCATTGTAGAAGAATCTTTTCCAAGTCTTTAAGTCAAAAAATATATATATTTTTCTCTTTTTCTTACTTGTCATTTGAAATTATTCCTGGGTTTCCTTGTAAATAGGATAGATGAAATGAATGAATGCCCTCTAATAGAATGTCCGCTGATTAGGGGACACACTCCATGCCCCACTTCACAAGGCTCTTTGTAGCATGTTCATCGCCCTCTGAGCCTCCTCCTTCAGCTAGCACACACTGATGCTAAGATCTGTAATTTAAAACTCCTCTTATCTTCTACCCTCCTTTCATCTCTGACTACACCAGAGAACATTCAGGGGTTTGTCAGGCGGCCTGTGAGGTCACCTGTGTCTTTTGCACTTCTCTAACTTTGGTCAGGAAACAGCGCTGCCAGCCACTTGGAAACTCTGATTATGGATCTGGTCTGATTTGCCCAGTCGCTTTGTGGGGGTCAAACAAAATTATTCCCACTTAGGTTAGTCCTTTCTTTATTTGATCCATTTGCCTGTGGATTTCAGAATCTCATATATTAAAATGATATTTTTGCATATTCTCAGAGAGAGAATACTCTTCTTGGTAGCATTAAGAAGAGGCCCCGCTAGTAGCCAGCAGTCTTGGAGAAGAATGAGTCACTTAATAACTTTATTATTAAGCTGAGATGTTCCACAGAGCGGATTAGGCAGTAGGTTGGCTAATTATCTGATATTTCCTTGTTTGTTTGTTTCTTTTGAGACAGAGTCTCACTCTGTCACCCAGGCTGGAGTACAGTGGTGCGATCTTGGCTCACTGCAACCTCCGCCTTGTGGGTTCAAGTGATTCTCCTGCCTCAGCCTCCCAAGTAGCTGGGATTACAGACGTGCGCCACCACACCTGGCTGATTTTCATATTTTTAGTAGAGATGGGGTTTCCCCATGTTGGTGAGGCTGGTCTTGAACTCGTGACCTCAGGTGATCTGCCCGCCTTGGCCTCCCAAAGTGCTGGGATTATAGGCGTAAGCCACCGTGCCCAGCCAATTATCTGATATTTCAAGTCACTGGATTCTTACAAGTTTTTGTTCTCATTTATGTAGGTTGTATTTATATAGGCGCAAGCCATGGAATTACCCAGCAGAAGATGCTTCTTGCTTTGTTAAGCTATGTACTGTTTATGTGATATTACTTAGAAACGTCTGCTTGTCATAACAAAATCTAGCATTTCATTCTGTTTCCACAGTCATCTTAACATGTAATTACAGTACATTGAATGTTCTTTTTCCTTAGAACAATTAAATATTAATTTATAACAATAAAAACAAAATACACATTTTGTCTTTACTTCCTAAAATTTCCACAACAAACATGAATTACTGTTATTGATATTAAAAATGAAAAAGAAATATACCACCAAAGAATTTCTATGGTAAATGTTTTTTATTTTTTATATTTAGCTGTTCTTGTTTAGTAGTAGTATTCAAAGAATACAGATTACTTCCCAGTGACTTTTCTAGCTTAATGAGGGACCCTGGGAATATCAGTTCTAGATGAAGACAATACGCACAACAAACAAGATACATGTGAATTTTCCCTAGAATATACATACAAATCTAAAATCCAGAAAGTCTGGAAGGCAAAGAATAGCACAGAAGAACGTTTGTAAAGGAAGTCATTGATTCCCTGCAGTATGAGGCGCCTAAGATATATCAGGTTGTAATAATACATCATGGGGTCAGTCTTCAAGTGAATTTGATTTCTCTGTAGGTGACATAATGCTCTGAACATAATTCTTAATGTTCTTCAATTTTTTTTAAATAAAATTTTTATTTGGAATAATTTTAGGTGTACAGAAAAGTTGCAAAGATAGATCCAGATTGTTCCTATACACTCTTTATCCAGTTTTCCCAGATACTTCCATCTTCCATAACTATGCCACATTTGTGATTATCAAGAACTTAGTTATATTACTATCAACTAAGCTACAAACTTCATTTGAATTTCACCAGTTTTTCCACTAATGTACTTTATCCATTCCAGAGTACAATCTGGGTACCAAATTACATTTAGAACTCCAACTTTTGAGGAAAATTAGGACCCGAGTTAGACCTATGAAGATCTCAGACCCAACAGATAACAACTGAGATCTGCAATCAGGAAGAATAAACAGAAATAGCACAGACAAAAGCCTTAGAAAAATCCATTCAAAGATGTAGCTATACTTATGTTTTACTTTAAGTAATATACACACACACACACATACATAGATATGTATGTGTGTGTGTGTGTTTCTGATGCCACTGTCAGGGTATCTCAAATTTTCCTTTATTATTATGGTCCAAGAAGGATATTTTTTTAAACCAAATGTTACTGAAAAATCTGTTGACTATGATACACTCTTGGACACGAGTGAACAACAGTATTTCTGAGAGATTTAGCAGCAGCATCTTAATAAAAGTATGTATATAACCTGGGATATAGTTATCTTCATACATAGTGGTACCTTATGCATCTCATCTCATTCCAGGTTCTCCCTTTACCCTCGAATTTCGCCACACTAGTTATGGCAGTGTCTCTTTAATTCATTCATTGATCCCAAATATACATTGAGAAACAGTTGTGTGTTAAGTAATGGGCCAAGCTATATGGATCCAGTGGTCTTTTGGATGAACTCAGATAAGGTAAATAGGTTTTACTATATAGTGGATAGGTGCTAATACAGGCATTCATAAAGTGCTATGGAAAGAGGCTTAGACAACATGCATGAGGCAGAGGAAACTCATGCAAAAGACATGGAGACATGTGGTACCATGGTCTTTTAAGTTCCATTCCACCTGCAGCACATTCCCTGCCTGGGAGGCATGGCAGGAACTGGAGCTGGATGTTGAATCAGGGCTTAGAATGACAAAGGCCTTTGATGCCAGCCAAGGGGTCTGAATTCATTGTGAAAAGGATGGGAAATCAGTGATAATATTTGTGATTTGGAAAGATCAGTATAGGCTGGGCGCAGTGGCTCATGCTTGTAATCCCAGCACTTTGGAAGGCCGAGGCGAGCGGATCACCTGAGGTCAGGAGTTCAAGACTATCCTGGTCAACATGGTGAAACCCCGTCTCTACTAAAAATACAACAAATTAGCTGGGCATGGTAGTGGGCACCTGTAATCCCAGCTACTTGGGAGGCTAAGGCAGTTGAATTGCTTGAACCGGGGAGGTGGAGGTTGCAGTGAGCCGAGATGGTGCCACTGCACTCCAGCCTGGGCAACAGGAGTGAAACTCTGTCTCAAAAAAAAAAAAGATCCGTATAGATAATGGATTGCTAGAGTTAAAAATGTGAGGCAGGGTTACTAGTGGGAGCTTCTGGGGTAGCACGGTTCAGGTAAGAAGACACAAAAACCCCCTTCCTCTTCTGTACTGGACCAGCACCAAGATTATCCTTTTAAGAGCAGGTTGAAATGCCATTTGCTCTGAGAAGCTTTTTTTTTTTTTAACTCCTCAGACATACCTAGTCATTTACTCCCATAGCTCTTGGTTCATAACTCGATTATAATATTTATCACAGAGTGTTGTAAGGACTGTGTTTCATGTCTGTCTCCCTACCACAGTGAGCTTCTCTAGGTCAGGGCTTGTGTCTTATTCATCTTGGCATCTTCAGCATTCAGGACACTGCCTGCCTGGTACAGGGCGTCTGCTCAAATATTTGATGAGTGAGAAATGGAATGAATATTTGCCAATCATGGATAGAATCTATGAGAAAGTTAACCTCTCCCCTGAAACCTTAACAATCACTATTATTCAAATTAATTTTTGCAAAATTCCATGCACAATAATTTAGTTAGTTCAGTTGAGGAAACAAGGATGAGATTCAATTAAAGAAGGAATTTTAAATCTTTAAATAATTGATACAGATTAGAATTCCTTGGTCATGTTGTAGATAATCCAAGTTTGTGGGTTAAAAAAGAGAAATATCTATGATTGCAAACTTGGTGTAGAATATACTATAAAAACAATGTTGTGAGATTTACTTCAAGTAAATGCACAGAAGTATATGAACGAACATTTCTTTAGTTCTGAGGGTTTATCAATGGGACTAAGCAGAACCTGTGTTGCTGCTGGGTGCTAAATAATATTGTGGGAAAAGAACTTGGGATATTTTATTTGGATCCCTGTTGCCTGGTTTGTAATTACTCACTTGAACCAGAGGTCAGAAAAGCAAATGCCTAAAAGGGCCAGACAAGTGGCAGAAATGAATAAAAGTTTAAGAAACTAAGATGTAAGAAACATCTTACATCTTAGTTTTAGGTGTTTAGATGTTTCTTACGTCTTAGTTTTAGGCATTCTGCCACTGGTCAAGTTTCTGGTATAAGAAACTAAGATGTTGGAACAAACGATGCTTGTGAACTGGATGCTGCCTGACCCATCTCTAAGTGGCAGCCCTTACTCTGATTCAACAGATGGCTGATATGCAGAAACTTGGGATCAGTTTGCCATAGCTCCTAATTTTTTATGAGAAACCAAACATCTCAATTTAAGTCGAAACTATATGTCTTTATTGACAGTAAGTAAAAATAATTGATATTGTATAGGTAAATCCTCTTCCAGCAATGATGGCCTAGGTTATTTTGGATCAACCTTCCCAGTAACAGCTAGAGAAGCCAAACTAAATATTAAAAAATATTAAAATCTGAAATTTTTGCAGAGCCAACAAAACAGTGAAGAATTATGGAGTCAAGAGCAGGGAGAAGATGAAAGTCCATGGAGGTAAACCTGGTATTTGGGTTCACTTTTCTCTTAAAGATGATTGTTGATTTTGAAAGCTGTGGCTTAAAGGTTGAAAACAGAGAGCTGGACAGACTCATAGAGCTGGGGGACCAAAAATGGGAGGTCAGTGTTTGTTAAAGAGTAGGGATCATGGTAAATATCTCAGGCAGGCAATTTGGATCCAGAGGAGTTATACCTAAGGATAATACTGAACTGGAACTATATCAAATCTAACAGGAACTGAAACTCAACCTCAGATGATCTCCAATTGCTGATTGGATTAAAGTGTTTTGAGGTTACTAGTGCATCTAACCTAGCTGCTTGCCAAAGCATGTGTACATTTTCTCTAGAGGAACAAAGCATTATACAGAGTCTTGTGACAATTTCCACATGCGACATCTGGCAATAGAAAACAACCAGCCAGGCTGGACATGGTGTTTCCCACCTGCAATCCCAGCACTTTGGGAGCCAAGGCGGGCAGATCGCCTGAGGTCAGGAGTTTGAGACCAGCCTGGCCAACATGGTGAAACCCCATCTCTACTAAAAATACAAAAATTAGCCAGGCATGGTAGTGCATGCGTGTAATCCCAGCTACTCAGGAGGCTGAGGCAGGAGAATCACTTGAACCCGGGAGGCGGAGGTTGCAGTGAGCCAGAGATCACGCCACTGCACTCCAGCTTGGGTGACAGAGCGAGACTCCATCTCAAAAAAGAAAAGAAAAGAAAACAACCAGGCAAACAAGGAGACAGGATGTGACCAAAAAACAAAAGAAAAACAGGCACCAGAAACAGACCTACAGTGGGATCCAGATAACGGTGTTTTCAGACACAGACTGTAAAATGGCCACCACTGATATTTTAAGAAATTAAGAGTCAAGATGCAAACTTTCCACAGAGAATTGGAAGCAATAATAATTAACCAAAAGAAATGTTCAGAATTAAAACACTATGTGGGTCACAAATAACATATACAGAAAATCAGAGTTTTGAGCATTGCTTTCAACATTCTGCATGCGGATGTAGCATAATGGGACCAGTGCAATAAATTGCAGATTGATTTGGTTTGTATCATAGTATAGCATAAAGAATTTGGCATAAATAAGAAAATCTTTTTTTATGGATCGCAAAAGATAGCAAAGATTAGAGATACAAAAAAAGTTGAAATAATTGATGAGGTTCAATTAGTTTCAACAATGAATTGGGTTTTTGGTAGCTCTTATTACTATGAATTAACCAATCAAAATTTTTAATCCAAAATCATTCCGGAAAAGTTTTGACAGGGAAATTCTGAGAGGTAGTATAGAAGGTTCCATGGTTTATGGAATCAAATAGATCTACATTTGACCCCTGGGTTTGCTTCCTACTAGGTAGGTGACCTTGGATCAGTTACTAAACAATCTGACCCTCCAGCATCCTCATTTCTAAAATATATGCATAATAATTTTTTGTTGAAGTTGTTAAGAAAGTTAGAAAAGGCACCTAAACAAACAGCCGGCGCGGTGGCTCACACCTGTAATCCCAGCACTTTGGGAGGCTGAGGCGGGTGGATCACCAGGTCAGGAGATCGAGACCATCCTGGCTAACATGGTGAAACCCCGTCTCTACTAAAAATACAAAAAATTAGCTGGGCGTGGTAGCGGGCACCTGTAATCCCAGCTACTCGGAAGGCTGAGACAGTAGAATGGTGTGAACCTGGCAGGCGGAGCTTGCAGTGAGCCAAGATGGTGACACTGCACTCTAGCCTGGGTGACAGAGCAAGACTCCATCTCAAAAAAAAAAAAAGGCACATAAACTTACAAGTGTAGTAGGCCTTAAAGCAGGTTAGATAGTCAACTCATAGAATTATTGGCAGGAAGAGAGGGTATCTACTCAGTTTTCTTTCCTCTCTATACCACCCAGAACTCTTACTACCCTGTTGCTTTCAATCATATGCATTTCTTTGTCCTCTCTCCTTTTCTTCATTCCTTTCATTTATTTTATTTTGAGAGAGAAACACCACATCTGTCTCATGTAATTACCATCATCTGGACATGAGTACTTTTTAAAACATCATTGATTTATTCTGAGAATACCAAAAAATGACCTTTTTATCTTTCTCAATATGTCAAGAATAAACTATCAGTTTGGGTTGCCTGTTCAAGCTAAAAATCTATTTGGTTTTTACTTCCTTGCCAAGGAGAGAGGGTTACAGCTTTATATTTGTGTGGCTGATAGTCGCCCTTGTGATAAGCAAGACAGTTTAGCAGAGTCCTGAGTCATCAGCAAGACCCCCAACTGATTGAGTCAATGTGGAGAATCTGGACAGAGGAAAGCTTTCAAATTCATGATCTGAACCTTTATTTTTTGGCCATCTTTCCTTTCTGCAACATCTTCTTCTTTTAAGTATAAAGTTTCTACTGTACCTTACCATACTGAAAGACAAATATCATGAAATAGACAAACTTTAAAAATACAATGTCTATATAACAAATTATTTTGAAGTAACCATGGATAAAATACTATTTAATAATTATCATTTGTCAAGGGACTTTTACTAGACTAAAAAACATCAGAGAACAATTTCGTATCAAAAATATATGAACACTTTCAATTTTCAGTCTATGTACTTAAAATATTAGTACTTAGGAGAATTTTAATATGTTTGCTTCCTTTTATATGAAAAAGAAACTGAACCTTTATTCTTTACTTAAAACTATTAGATATTATGTACCCAATCTCTATTTGTGTATTTTCTTCCCTGATTTTAATATCTTATTTTTATAAGGATGGTTTTCCTCCAGGTTAACATCAGAACATCAGAAAAAATAGCAGTATTCTTTTTTCTTTTTTATTTTTTTTGAGATGGAGTCTCACTCTGTTGCCCAGGCTGGAGTGTAGTGGCACGATCTCGGCTCACTGTGACCTCCGCCTCCTGGGTTTTCAAGCGATTCTCCTGCCTCAGCCTCCTGAGTAGCTGGGATTACAGGAACGTGTCACCACTCCCAGCTAATTTTTGCATTTTTAGTAGAGACGGGGTTTCACTGTGTTAGCCCAGAATGGTCTCGATCTCCTGCGCTCATGATCCGCCTACCTCAGCCTCCCAAAGTGCTGGGATTACAGGCGTGAGCCACCACGTCTGGCAAAATAGTAGTATTCTTAAAGAATGGAGTCTTGTGTCACTTTCTGCACTAAGAGCACAGTTTTTTCCAAATGTCAGGGTGAACTCTGTTGAACTGGATATCCCTACAAAATTTTCAATCAACTTAAGTACACAAAATATATTTTGCAGTTTTATTTATCATCAGAAGAAAAACATTATCTTTATTGCCTCTTGCGTCTTCCTTACTGGAAATAAATTTTAATTCAGTAACTATGCATTGACCACTATTTAAAACCAGATACTGTGCACTGGCCATGGAGAATGTCAGCATGAATCAATCCCTATACCCAAGGAATTCATGAGTTCAGGTCCCCTGGGTGCTTCCAGTGTCCTGAGGGTTTTGGAGGACACATCCTCACAGGTTAGTCTGTGTTTTCCTCCTTCTCCTTCTTTTTAAATAAACTTTATTTTTTAGAACTATTTTAGATTTACAAAGACATTGGAAAGACAGATACATTGGATATACTCCACACCCAGTTTCTCATATTATTAACATCTTACCTTAGTATGGTATATATAATTATAATTAACAAACCAATACTGATACATTATTAACTAAAGTCTCTACTTTATTCAGATTTCTGTAGTTTTCCCCCAATGTTCTTTTTCTTTTGCAAGATCCCATTTAGAGTACCACATTGCCTTTAGCCATCATGTCACCTTAAGATTCCTCTTGGCTGTGACAGTTTCTCAGACTCTCCTTGTGTTTGATTATTTTGATAATTTTCAGGAATCACTTATTTTTGCTGGGATAAAAAAGAAGTTGATCACAGGCTGCGAATCACCTTCCATGATTATTTGTCTACATGAGGCAGAATTGCCGCTTAACTGCATAGTCCTCTGGGGAAGGCTGTGAAGAGTTTCTTCAGTATGACTCCAACAGTGGCCCTCATCGTGGCTCTTCTCCAAGCCCACTCACCTGGCACCTCCAGGCAGCTGCTATATTTTCAGACCACTTTCCTGTCTCTGAGTTGTGATGTTTGGCATCTCCAAATCTTTTCCAGTCCACCTCAGTCTCTTCAGCTTCCAAATATTTCTCTATACCAAAAGCCCTAATTGCTTCTTTTAACTAGCATTTCAGTCCACATTTTTATCAAGGAGAAATCTTGGACCTCCTTACGCAAGGGCAGAGAGCTCAGTCTTCAAAAACCACAATCGTGGGCTTCAGGTCTCTTCTTCCTGGAGAGAAAGGGAGTTGTTGTTTGCATTCCATCCCTCTTCTAGAACTCCTAACAATTCCTAATGCAGCAAAGAAAAGACAAAACAACTGAGTTGACATTTCAAAATAGATTGAATATTCATATTCTGCTAGACATAATCACAAGAGGAGAGTTAGTATTATTATTGAGGTGTGTAAAAGATGCTAGAGGAGCATAGAGGAGGGAAAAGTAAATCTATTGCTCTGGAAAGAAAGAAGGGAAAGAAAAAGGGGATCAGCAAAGAGTATAAGGCTTTCTTATAGGTAATACCTGAACTGAGTCTTCAACAGTGTGTGGTGGGCAGTGCCAGCATCCCAGGTAGAAGTAACAGCCTGAGTAAAGACAGGAGGGCATGAAATAACATCATATATTTGAGAAAGTGCCAGCAACTCTGAAGTAGTGCAGAGTAAAGGGACTATGAGGGAATGGCAGGAGGAGAGATTGGAAAGTTAAGCAGAAACGAATCAGGCTGGGAAATGCCTTTGATGTCACTCTACGGTCTAAGAATGCTGTTGAACGCTGTGAAGTTAGGTCACCTTGCTGGCTGAGCAGTGGGGTTTAATATCTAGATTGTAAAGGGGTAGGATAAGAAGGTAAGAAGTTAGTGCACTCAGCGAAGAGATCTATCATCCCAGATTGGGCCATGTAAGTAGACTGATAAAAGAACCTATTTAAATTTTGAGTTAAAACAAATTAAAATGTTCTGAGTTTGCTGAGTTGGTGAGTTGACTAACAATCGGCAATGCAAGATTTAAGACTAGTTTATATGAGACCTTAAAACTCTGGCTGCTTGGACCAAGACACTCTTTGGTCAAAGAGAAGTCCAGGAGGCTATTTGCCCTCTAGTGGCAACCACAAAGCATTTTCTATTTGCTAGAAACTGACTAGAATATTCAGCGCAGAAAAAATGTTCCCAGGAAGCCAGTGGCCACTATACTTCATGAAGCTGTTTTAATTAGTATCTAGACTTGAATATCTAGCTTAATACACAAGCCCAATATAAGTTAGTTAAGATAGAAAAAAATGCTGTTTAATAATAACCAATCAATCATACATACCAATCTCTCATTGGAATTACTTAACACAACTTTTCAATACCATCTTTAACAGGATATGATGGGAATGTAGCATTTTATTATAAATAACATCTCAGATTTTTAAATGTAGTGATTTATTTTAAATGTATAACATAGAAAGATATTTGCAGGATCAGAGATCAGTTTTCCTACATCTCCAAGAATCTATTTTAGGTTCTCTGTTCTGTTCACTTAGATTTTACACTTGCCATCTAGAAAATTTTGGTCCCCAATTTAGCATTATAGAATTTCCAGTTCACTTCTTTCATGTTATTTTCTTTTTTTCCACAGACGTGGTTTATATGTTATTGAAGAGCCTTTGGTATCACCTTTCAATCTTTCAAATGTACAGTCTTTCGAGAAGTAATGCTTTCCCCTGCCTTTGCTAAAGGCATTTCACAGAAGCATCTCATTATTTATTTATAAGTGTAAGTCTCCAGAATAAGGTAACATTACCACTGGTCTACCATTGCCTCTATACACATGAATACATTCATAATTAATAGAATGGTCTATACTAGTGTTGCAGCTAGAACAAACCTAAGGTCAGAGCTCTGGGAGAGCAAGTCATGTCATTATTTTTGTTAAGAAATAAAGAGCGTAAGTTAAAAATTATCTGAAGGGAGGTGTGCGTGTAGGCTAGGGAGACAAAGACAACGGCGTATGGGAAAGAGGACTGAAAACAATTCGCGGAAAAAAACTATAAGATTTTGAACCAGGTCTTGCCAAAAAAAAAAAAAAAGTGTTTTTGTTTTCTTTCTGAGTTGTCTCTCTCGTTGGAGCAGGTTAATGATTGACCACTGCATTCCCCTTTTCTTGCGGGCTGTTAGGCCCTCAAAGAAACGGAAAGTAGTTGAGAAACAATGGGATTAAACTGCCTTAGGAAATTCTGAACGGATGAACATCAAACAGGCAGGTGAGGTTTCTCATGGAATGCTTCTGCCCAGGTTTCCTGCTTCTGGAGGGGAAATTGATCTCATTAAAGAGTTCTCTTCCATACAATGGATAATGATGAGGGTGAGGGGTTATTGACATAAAAAGATGTTATTCACTCTACACGGCTAAGAGGGGGAAAAAGCAAGCAACAAAACATATGCATAATATAATGCCATTTCTGTAAAAATTACATAGTATATGGATATTTATTTACATATAGAAAATCAACTAGATTTGCTCTAAATGTTAAATAGAGATTGTCTCAGGTTGATGGGATTATGGGCAGTTTTAGTCCTTCCCCTGCCCCTATGTTTTTAGTGATTCATATGTGTAAAAATAATTGCTTTGGCCAGGCACGGTGGCTCACGCCTGTAATCCCAGCACTTTGGGAGGCCGAAGCGGGTGGATCACAAGGTCAGGAGTTCAAGACCAGCCTGGCCAAGATGGCGAAACCCCCATCTCTACTAAAAGTACAAAAAAATTAGCCAGGCATGGTGGCAGGTGCCCGTAATCCCAGATACTTGGGAGGCTGAGGCAGAGTATCACTTGAACTCGGGAGGCAGAGGTTGCAGTGAGCTGCGATCGCGCCACTGCACTCCAGCCTGGGCGATAGAGCAAGACTCCATTGCAAAAAAAAATAATAATAATAATAATAAAAGAATTGCTTTAAAAAGTATAAAAATATTTTCTTGAAACAGAAAAAGTTAGTTACATTGTAGTTAGCTAACCATTTGTATACAGTAATTAATTTGTTTTAAAAATTACTTAAAGTCCTACAGGAACTAGAAAAATCAAAGTGAATGCTAAGCTGATTTTAGAGTGTATAGACTTTCCTGTGTGTTAAGTGAGCAAACAAAAACACATAAAAGATTAGTTTATTTTATCACATAATTTGTACAGCTTTCTAAAGGTTTTTAAGAGGAAATAATGTTTAAATAAGTATTAAAGACACATACCAAACTCAGATAAAATATTTACAATACATCGGACCAATTAAAAATGCTTAGCACAGTGCCTGGAACAAGGCGAGGGTTTAATAAACAGATCATTATTATGATTAGTGTATTAATGTATTACAAACCAGTAATAAAAATAAAAATTCTTCAAGATTGGACAAAAGAGATGGACAAACCTCTAATCACGCAATGGCTAATAAACATATGATAAAGTTCAAATTATACATTATTCATAGAAATGCATGCTAAGGTAATAAATAGATATGCAATTCTTTACCCATGAAGTAAACAAAGACATATTTTTAAAAAGGTATTTTCCAATACCGGCAAGGTTTCAGAGAAATGGGTACTTTTATACCATGCAAGTGAGAAAATGAATCAGTACGAACTCTCTAGATGGCAATTTCTCAGTGAATATCAAAAACCTTTAAAGTATTTATATTAGTCAACCCAGGAACTTCATGCCTAGGAATTTATCTTAAGGAAACAATCAAGAATGTTAACATACACCCTTTAAAAGACCCAATAGTTTGGCTTGCAGAAATTTATCCTACAGGTAATACTTCTAGTGCACATGGACAAAATGACACAGATGTTGCACAAGGTTGTTTATGTAATTTCGTAACAAAAGATTGGAAACAACCTAAATTACCATCAATAGCAGTAAGAGAAATACACTGTGGTACTTTGAGACAATAGAATATTATGGAAGAATAACAAAATGAAAACAGAATGTGCACATATAGAAAGATATCCTCCCGATATTTTTAAATTTTAAAAAGATACAGAACAGCGTAAAAATGGGAGAAAATGAGAATATGTTTATATCTGCTAGTATATTCAAAAAAATAACTCTCAAAGGATAGGTAAGAAATTAATAGTGGCTTCTGTAAGGTGTGAGAGGGAATTAGGCAGACATAGGACAAGAATGAAAGGGAAAATATTTTCTTTGGTTTTTGAACCACATACATTCATTAGTTTTCTTTTTTAAAAAGTAAATAAATGAATTTTTAAAAATACTCACAAAATGCATGTCAAGATAGTATGGGAAAGCCAAGTATCTTTTAAACGTCCAAGCTGAATAAATACAACACCCGAAATTCACTATGCTCATCTTTTCCTCTTTGAAGACAGAGAAAATGCTTTTCTTCTCTTGGCATCCTCCTATCTGAAAAAGTACCTGGCACATAGGAGGTACTCAATTAATTTTAGAGGAATAAATGAATCAATGAAGTTTTAAAAGTTAAGTTAGTCACCAAGGAAAAGACTATACACTCTTCTCACCTTCAGATTTTTTTCCAGCAAGTAACGATTATTTTTTTAGAGAAGACGCAAAATAAAAGTTCCAATGGTCCAAGTCGCTATTTTAAGTGCTCATTCATCAGTTCTAAACCTAAAGAGGCTGTTAAAGTAGATTATTAAAGCAAAGCTAAAATCAAGTAAAATAACTGCACTGCCACACTATGGTACCATATAGGTTCATAAACCAGGTTTATCATTTCCATCCAGTCACGTGCCAAATCACTGTTCCTTCTCTCGCCAATGAGAGATATCAGGGTATGTTCACAACTAAACCATGACAGTTAATGAGGGATGGAAGACATTGAGCTTAGAGAATGTGCTATAAACCATCAAAATCCACCACCAAACACACCCAGTATTAAAAATGATCTAGTGCTAGTATAACAGTTAACACTGGGGGTAATGTTCAGGGGCAGAAATGAAGCCTACAAAATGAGCTGGTGACTGTATATTAGATTAGTGATTCTCAACACTGACTGCCCATTATAATCACCTAGGGAGGCTTTAAAAATACTGATTCTAGGGCTCCACTCCCAGAGATTCTGATTAAATTTCTGTGGGGTGGAGCTCAGGAATTCCCACTGAAAAAAAATAGTAATGCCGATGTGAGGTCAGGGTTGAAAAATGCTTCATTGGACCATGGGAGGGATGGAGGGAAGTTTTTTCCTTTTCTTACATAAATGGATGATTTAATCAGCTGGTGGCAGCCATTACAATTCATGCAAACACAAAATTTTTCTGATTCACCTCTTCACCTGATATTTTCTCATCTTCCCTAGACCAAACCTTCCCCAAAACTCCATGCTTGGACTATTAATATTATTTCCTATGGGTCTCTTCGCTTGTTTTCGTTCTTCCCTCATATTTTCACCTTGCACAACAATGACAAGTGGCTTTTCTTATATCAAAGACTCTATGTGTAAGGTATTTGTCATCTAAATTTCTCAGGTTCGGCTTCCATTCTGAGCTCTGCCATTATCTAATGAGATTGTACTGCTGCTCAGTTTCAACTACACCAAATTAAATTGGGTAACCTCTAAGGTTGTCTTACCCCACCAGTAAATCTTCAATCCCATTTTTTATAGTTTCCCTAAATATTTTTAATTGAAGTCAGACAAAATCTTCTTCACCCCTCAACTTATTTTTTGCTCCTTTCCTTCCAATGCAATTGTTATTTATGCTGTTTCTTCTGCTTTTTCATTCCCTCAGCCAATCATATGCACAATCACGTGGCTCAAGCTCATCTTCTCCACAGGTTTTAGGAACCCAGACCACTTTATATCCATTATATTCTTACTTTATGCTTTCCTTGGTACTCTGTGGTCAAGATTCTCTTTATTCAAAGTGCAGTTCAGGGTTAGCAATATCAACATCACTTGGGGGCTTGTTAAAGATGCAGAATCCCAAGCCTCTTCTGCATTTCATCCAATTGCCAGGTGACTTCATGCACATCAAGATAAACTGGCCTATACCCGTTTATTAGCACTTGCTTTGTTTTCTAGTTTCTCTCTTTCTTTCTTCCTTCCTTCCTTTTCTTTTTCTCTCTCTCTCCCCTTTTTTTTTTTGAGATGGAGTCTTGCTCTGTTGCCCAGGTGGGAGTGCAAGTGGCACCATCTCGGCTCACTGCAACCTCTGCCACCTTCAAGTGATTCCCCTGCCTCAGCCTTCTGAGTAGCTGGGACTACAGGCGTGCATCACCACACCCAGCTAATTTGTTTTTTTTTTTTTTAGTAGAGATGGGGTTTCACCATTGAGAGGTGACAGCGTGCTGGCAGTCCTCACAGCCCTTGCTCGCTCTCGTCGCCTCCTCTGCCTGGGCTCCCACTTTGGCGACACTTGAGGAGCCCTTCAGCCCACTGCTGCACTGTGGGAGCCCCTTTCTGGGCTGGACAAGGCCGGAGACGGCTCCCTCAGCTGGCAGGGAGGTGTGGAGGGAGAGGCGTGGGCGGGAACTGGGGCTGCAGGTGGTGCTTGCGAGCCAGCGCGAGTTCCAGGTGGGCGTGGGCTTGGCAGGCCCCGCACTCAGAGCAGCCCACCAGCGGTGCCGGCCCCGGGCAGTGAGGGGCTTAGCACCTGGGCCAGCAGCTGCTGTGCTCAATTTCTCGGTGGGCCTTAGCTGCCTTCCCACGGGGCAGGGCTTGGGACCTGCAGCCCGCCATGCCTGAGCCTCCCCCGACGTCCGTGGGCTCCTGTGCGGCCTGACCCTCCCTGATGAGCACTGCCCCCTGCTCCATGGTGCCCAGTCCCATCCACCACCCAACGGCTGAGGAGTGTGGGCCCACTGCGCAGGACTGGTAGGCAGCTCCACCTGCGGCCCCAGTGCGGGATCCACTGGGTGAAGCCACCTGGGCTCCTGAATCTGATGGGGACTTGGAGAATCTTTATGTCTAGCTAAGGGATTGTAAATACACCAATCAGCACTCTGTATCTAGCTCGAGGTTTGTAAACACACCAATCAGCACCCTGTGTCTAGCTCAGGGTTTGTGAGTGCATCAATGGACACTCTGTATCTAGCTACTCTGGTGGGGACTTGGAGAACCTTTGTGTGGACACTCTGTATCTAGCATCATCTAGTGGGAATGTGGAGAACCTTTGTGTCTAGCTCAGGGGTTGTAAATGCACCAATCAGCGCAAACAGACCACTCAGCTCTCTGTAAAATGGACTAATTAGCAGGATGTGGGTGGGGCCAGGTAAGAGAATAAAAGCAGGCTGCCCCAGCCAGCAGTAAAAAGCCGTTCGTGTCCGCTTAGGTGCTGTGGAAGCTTTATTCTTTCGCCCTTTGCAATAAGTCTTGCTGCTGCTTACTCTGTGGGTCCCCACTGCCTTTATGAGCTGTGTGCTACTCACCGTGAAGGTCTACAGCTTCACTCTTGAAGCCAGCGAGACCACAAACCCACCAGAAGGAATGAACAACTCCAGACAGGCCGCCTTATGAGCTGTAACACTCACGGGGAAGGTCTGTAGCTTCACTCTTGAGCCAGCGAGACCATGAACCCACCAGAAGGAAGAAACTGAACACATCAGAAGGAACAAACTCCAGACACGCCGCCTTTAAGAACTGTAACACTCACCGCGAGGGTCTGCGGCTTCATTCTTGAGGTAAGTGAGACCAAGAACCCACCAATTCCGGACACCATGTTGGTCAGGCTGGTCTCGAACTCTCCCTCGGCCCCACAGAGTGCTGGGATTCAGGCATGAGCCGCCAGGCCCTTAACTTTTATTCCAAAAAAATTTCAGTTAAAACTTCCAGTACATAGTATTTGCATAGCAGGGACCCTGAAGTGTTTGTTAAATGAATGTCACATATATCACATACTGTGATAGGAATAAAGTCATTCGTTTGAAAGGTTGATAAATACAATGATAGACTGCTAGAACTTCATGAGTCTTAAGAGAATATCTCACCAGATCTCATCTTCCAGATTTAAAAAGGGGGGCACAGACTTCAGCAGGAAGGGCTGATTTAACGACATCTACTATAATGTGAGTCTGGGCCACACTCTGGTTTTCCAGTTTCAGTAATGATGCATCACTACTCTTGAAAAACCACCAGAAACCAACAAGTAAGCACCCAAAAAGATGTTTAGGAATTCAGAAGTACTCCTTTTACTCTAGCCTTAAAATTATTTGCTCTTGCATTGTGGATTACCCATCAACAATGTCCAGTCCTTACCAGGAGTCAGGGAGAGCGTCAAATGCTGGGCATACTGAAATGACCTTAACCCAGTACTTGGCCACCTACAGGACACTGTAATGGAGAGCAAAGCAGGACAGAGGTAATGCAAAACACAAAAACACCAAAAAATTGGAAATCTTTGGAGCCATTTGCCTTCTAGAACCTTAAAGGCGCCCTATAGTCCCACACTATAGAATATTGGAAGAGCAGTCGGCTGTAAGTCTGAATCATGAGTTCCTTACACTTTTTTCTACCCAGTTCAATTTTGGGAACTTCCGAGTCCTGGTCCTTTCATTGTTTGTGATACCCAACACCCAGCACAATGCGGAGAGCACAGTAAGGTGGCAGTGAATTCATCAATACTTTCAAAGTCTATTTTATCTACAAGGACAAGTTTTATTGTATGTTTCCTTTTAAATAAGTGCCACAGTCGCAGTAAGTGAAAACATCCTGACACCACCCCAGCGGCCCCCCCAGCTCGTGGGCCTCCCCGCAGAGCGCGCGCCCGTGGGGGTAACCGGCGGAAAACTAGGGACGCGGGCACAGCCGCAGACTGGGCGTGGGGGGCACCGGAATGGCCGAGCCTGGGACGCTGGGACCTCTGGCCGCCGCGGGGCGACCAGGCGGGCGGAGACGTCTCGCGCCCTCCCGGGCCGCGCGGCTCCAGGCGCATTCCTGCACCCAGCTCCCGCGCGCCGCGCTGCGCTGCCTCCCCCGGACAGCTGATTCATTGGCTCGGCCGCCCAGACTGCCTGGCGCCGGCTGCGTGACGTCACCCATTCACGGAGCCCGCCTCCCCCGCTCCGCTGGCGCCGGCCGGGCGGTCGCCCTGACAACGCAGACGCCAGCCCGCACAATGACTTCCAGCTGGAGCAGCCCAGCCAGCCTGCGCGCTCACTCGCTTGCTTGCGCTGGGCTTCAGGGCGCCCGGGTGAGTTTTTTTCTCTCCCTCTCGTTTTTTTTTTTTTCCCAGGCTCTCGCGGGTTTCCCCTGCCAGGGAATCCACTCGCTGTAGTTTTCTAGGGCTCTGGTCCCAGTCCTTTCTGAAGCGCGCTTGCAGGCTGTCTTCCTCAGTCGCCCTCTCCCTGGGTGCTGTTTTGCTGGGCAGCATCCCATGCTAGGCTCGGCAGACATTCTGGCGGTTGGGTTCGGCCCTTACAGCGCTAACACCTGCAGAGTCGAGGCTCCTGCCAAAAGGCAGAAAGCAAAGGAGGAAAAAATTCATTGTCATAATAGCGAAAATGATAAACCTCAGCTGTTTAAGAGAAGAATGTCTGAGTAGCTGTTGATTATCTCCCATAATCACAAAACAACTTTTTTTTAAAAAGAATTTGCACTGTCTGTTAAAACGCGGTCATTGTTTTGCTTTCAAATCGAACTTCACGACAGTTAGCAACTTCAAGAACGCTTCCAAATGGATAAATCTTTCCAGAAGGTAAAACAAATCTGGGAAGTTGTAGCAGTGTAAATTGGAGAGTGTGTGAGGGTCGTATTTGGAGAGAGAGAGACACACACACAGGAGATTGGTGGTCTTGGGGCAAGGCAAATAGCTCATTCGCCCCCCCACACCTCCAGTTTCCACCCCAGACCTTTAAATCTTGAAGGTGGAGGAAAGGGAGACGTAGCTGTTGATTAGAGTTGGGTGGGAGGTAATTCTTATTCTAAATTTTCATTTTATTTATTTTTTGGTGCCAGATTTCTTGCTTCAAAACAGCTGCATTTTTGGAAGAAAGTCCACAACTGACAACTAAGCAAAACCCTCCTGGTGGATAGCATAAATCTGCTTTGTTGAAGCTGCTCATTTGTCTGATCTATGAGTCCAGAAGATGCAAACTCCCTTCCCAGCTTATGCAAAAATACTTCCAGTAAAAACAAGCCCTTTGGCCCTTTTCTTTTGTCAGTCCAGATTTCAGCATGTTCTTCGCTTTGTTATTCATCATTTTATGTATTTGGACCCATCCTCAAACAGACTTTAAACCGTTTAAAGGCAAGGAGGGACTCTTTCGTAAACCTTTAATCCCCTGGCCCAGCTGAGTAGATGCACAGTGTCTTTTGATGATGGTGATATGGAATGATTAATAACCACACAAGGCATTCGGTTGGTCAAGTCACTGTTTATTGGCTCAAAATAATCCTTGGTTTCTGTATGTCTACAGCTCACTTCCTAAACAGTTAAATCCGGAGAAGTCTAATAGATAATAGTTGGTGATCATAAATATAAATAACCAATACATTAGAATGTGTAGTCAAAATAGGAATACTTGCTTTTCACTTACTTCCCACGGGTCGCTGCTGGTGGTAGTCAACACAAATAAAAATTTGAACTCATTTTGTTATTCATCTAAAATGAGAAACTCGGTGAAACATTGATTTTCTAAAATTGCTGCATATTTAAATGTGATTATAATTGCTTTTTAGCATTTTAAAATTGTAACATCGATACCAAATGCTTAAGAATCTAAAGAATAGTCTATTGGGGCTGGCCTATTTTGTGTAAAATGGTCTGTATCATAATGGATGACTGATTATCCCATCCACATTATTTGGATTCACTTAATACTAGGTTTTAACGTTAGGAGAATAAAACCCTCAAGAAACCTAACATAGATTTGTATATTTAGTTTTCTCCTTCCTTATCATCTTCCACCAGACTTACAGGTGTTCCACCTGCTTGTAGTTTCGGTAATAATACCAGCTGGCGGTGGTTCCTAACTCTAGCTACACTTTAAAATTACCTCGTGCATTTAAAAAAAAAATGCAGTTGTTTAGGTTCTTCCCCTAGATATTTTAATTTACAAGGTTTGGGATGTGGCCTGGGCACCGATTTTTTTAACTTTTTATTTGAATGTAGACTTACAGGAAGTTGCAAAGATAGTACAGAGAGGTCTGATAGAGCCTCCACTGTTGGTTACATCCCGCATAGCTAGAGCACAATAATAAAGCCAGGACATTGACACTGAGATAAAATGTGCCTGTGATTCTGTGTCACCTTATCCCTGAAGACTCTTGTAATCATTACCACAATCAAAATACAAACTATTTCAACACCACGAAGATCTCTCTCATACAGTCCCTTTATGGTCGTCCCTTTCTTTCCCCCACACCATCCCTAACCCTTTGCAACCATCAGTCTGTTCTCCATTTCTATAATTTTGTCGTTTGGGGAATGTTTTATAAATTGGTCCTCACAGCTTGTGACCTTCTAAGATTAGCTCACCATCCCCCCCACCCCCCCACCCCACCCAACTCAGCAGAATGCCCTAGAGATTTATCCAAGTTATTGCAGGTATTTCTAGTTTGTTCCTTTCTGTTACTGAGTTCTACACTATGGGTGTAACACAGTTTGTTTAATCATTCAGCATTCACCTATCATACATTTTGGTTCCTTCTTTTTTTGGGCGGGGGGAGTGCCTATTACAAATAAAACTGTCTTGAAAAATTGCTTGCAGGTTTTTCTGTGGACCTAAATTTTCATTTCTCTGGGATAAATGTCCAGGAGTGTGATTGCTGGGTCATATGGTAAGTATGTGTTTAATTTTTAAAGAAACTGCTGAACTATTTTCCAGAAATGTGGTACTATTTTACATTCCCAGCAGCCATATATGAGAGATCCAGTTTTTCCACATCCTTACCAGTATTTTGTATTGTCACTATTTTTTTACTTTTACTGTTCCGATTAGGTGTGCAGTGATACCTCACTCTGGTCTTAATTTGCATTTTCCTAATGACTAGGGATGTTGATCATTTTCTCATGTCTTTGCCATACACATATCCTCTTCAGTGAAATCCCTCTTCGTGTCATTTTCTTATTTTCTTGATTTGTTCTGTTACTGTTGAGTTTTGAAGGTTCTTTAAATTATAGACATGAGTCCTTTATCAGTTACATCAGCAGTCCTCAACCTTTTTGGCTTCAGGGACAAGTTTCGTGGAAGACAGTTTTTTCCACGGAAGTGGGGGTGGTGGGGGAAATGGTTTCCAGATGGAACTGTTCCACTTAAGATCATCAGACATTAGATTCTCATAAGGAGCATGCAAACTAGATCCCTCGCATTCGCAGTTCACAATAGGGTTCGCTCTCCTGTGAGAATCTGATGCCCTGGCTGATCTGACAGGAGACAGAGCTCAGGTGGTGAGGCTGGCTCAGGAGGTGCTTAACTCCTGCTGTGTTGCCAGCTTCCTAACAGGCCATTGACCTGTACCAGTCTGAGGCCCAGGACTTGGGGACCCCTGAGAGATGTGGTTTGCAAATAGTTTTTCCCAGTGTTTTTGCTGTCTTTTGGATCTTTTGGGCCACATCCGGTGGCTCACGCCTGTAATCCCAGCACTTTGGGAGACTTAGGCGGGTGAATCACCTGAGTCGGGAGTTCGAGACCAGGCTGACCAGCATGGAGAAACTCCGTCTCTACTAAAAATACAAAAATTAGCCGGGCCTGATGGCGCATGCCTGTAATCCCAGCTACTCGGGAGGCTGAGGCAGGAGAGTTGCTTGAATCTGGGAGGCGGAGGTTGCAGTGAGCCAAGATCGCGCAGTTGTACTCCAGCCTGGACAACAAGAGCAAAACTCCATCTCCCCAAAAAAAAAAAAAAAAAAAAAAAAAAAAGGATCTTTTGGAGAGAAAAAGTTTTTAATTTTAATAAAATCCAAGTTTTTAATTTTTTTTCTTTAACTTTTAGGTTTGGAGTACATGTGCTAGTTTGTTATATAAGAAATAATGCATCATGGGGAGTTGGCATATAGATTATTTCATCACTAGGTAATAAGCACAGTACCTGATGGGTAGTTTTTCAATCCACCCCCTCCTCCCACTCTATACTCAAGTAGGACCCAGTGTATAAAAGTATAGTTGACTTTTGTATGTTGATCCTTCTGTGACTTTGCTGAACTTATTGGCTCTAGGAGTTTTGTTGTTTTGGGGTTTTTTGTTTTTGAAGGTTTCTTGGATTTTTTTTTTTTTTTTTTTTTTTTTTTACAACGTAGGGAAACCTGTCATCTGCAAATAGCAACAGTTTTAGTTCTTCCTTGCATTTCCTTTTCTTGCCTTATTGTGCTGGCTAGAACTTCCAATATTGTGTTGTGGTGAGGTGGGACATCCTTGTTTTGTTCCTGAGCTTAGGGAGAAAGCATTCAGTCTTTTTTTTTTTTTTTTTTTTTTTTTTTTGAGATCAAGTCTTTCTCTCTCACCCAGGCTGGAATGCAGTGTGTGATCTCAGCTCACTGCAACCTCTGTCTCCCGGATTCAAGTGATTCTCCCACCTCAGCCTCCCAAGTAGCTGAACTACAGGTGTGTGCCACCACGCCTAGCTAATTTTTGTATTGTTAGTAGAGATGGGGTTTTGCCATGTTGGCCAGGGTGGTCTGGAACTCCTGACCTCAGGTGATCTGCCCATCTCGGCCTCCCAAAGTGCTGGGATTACAGCCACCATGCCAGGCCAGCATTCAGTCTTTCGTATTAAGTATAATATTAGTTGTAGGGTTTTTTTTTCTTCAAGTTTTTAAAAAGTCAGTTTGAGGAAGTTCCCTGCATTCCCAGTTTTCTGAGAATTTGTATTATGAATGGATGTTGAATTTTGTTAAGTACTTTTTCTGCATCAACTGATGAATCATGATTTGTTTCCCTTTAGCTTGTGAATATGGTAGATTATTAATATATTGATTGATTTTTGAATGTTAAATCAGTCTTTCATCCCTAGGATGCTAGCTCATGGTATATAATTCTGTGTTGATATAGTGCTGAAGGCCATTTGCTAATATTTTGTTGATTGTTGCACTTATATTAACGAAGGATATCAGTCTGTAGTTTCTGTCTCTGTCTCTGTTTATCTCTGTCTCCCTGTCTCTCTCTCTCTCATGCAATCTTTGGTTGGTTTGGATAGCAGGATAATATTGGCTTCCTAAAATAAATTGGGAAGTGTTCATGCCTCTTCTATTTTTGGGGAAAGTATATGTATAATTGGTGTTAATTCTTCTTTAAACATTTGTTAGAATAGTGTGGTAAAACAATCTGGCGGGCCCTGGAGTTTTCTTTTTCTGTAATTTAAAAATTATGAATTCAGTTTTCTCAATAAAGTGCTATTTAAATGATCTATTTCATATTGTGTGAGTTGGGATAATGTGTGCTTTTTGAGGAATGGGGTCATTTTATCTATTGTCTAATTTTGTCTAATTTATGTGGTATTTACTCATTATCCCTTTGATATCTGCAGGATCTGTAGTAATATCCCTGCTTTCTTTCCTAATATTATGTTTTTTTCTCCTTTTTAATTTGTCAGTCTTGATTGGGATTTGTGCATTTTATTGATTTTTTTTTTTTTTCCAAAGAACCATCTTTTACTGATTTTCTGTTTCCAATTTCACTGAGTTTTGCTTTTCTCTTTATTATTCCCTCTCTCTGCTTTCTTTGGGTTTTTCTTTTCCTTTTCTATGCTCTTGAGGTATAATCTTAGATTTTAATTTGAGATTTTTTTTGCTTTTTAATGTAAGCTTTTAGTTCTATAAGTTTCCCTCTTAGCAGTGTTTTTGCTGCATCCACAAATTTTGATATGTTGTGTTTTTATTTTCATTCAGTTCAGTGTATGTTTTGATTTCCACTTAGACTTCCTCTTTGAGCTATGGATTATTTTATAGGGAATTTAGTTTCCAAGTGTTGGGTTATTTTCCTATTATCTTTCTGTTACTGATTTCGACTTTAATTTCATTATGGTCAGAGGATACACTCCATATGATTTAATTCTTTTAAATTTCATGAGTTTGTGTTATGGATATGATCTATCTTGGTGTATGCTCTGTGATTGCTTAAAGAGAATGCTGCTAGTGTTGGGCGGGGTGCTCTGGAAGTGTCAGTTAGCTTCTGTTGCTTGACGATGTTATTGGGTTCTCTTATATCTTTGCTGATTTTCTATCCAATTGTTTTATCAGTTGTTGAGAGAGGAGTGTTGAAGTCCCCAACTATAATTGTGGATATATCTAATTCTCCCTTCAGTTCTATCAGTTTTTGCTTCACATATTTTATAAGTCTGTTATTTGGTGCATACTCACTTAGAATTGCTAATACAGTTCACTTAGAATTGCTTATGTAATTCTTTTTGGTGAATTATATTTCTCTCTGTCTCTTGTCCTTTGCTTTGAAGTCTATTTTCTTTTAATATAGCCATCCCTGCTTTCTTCAAATACTTTCATGACTTTTTTTTATACTTTTACTTTCAACCTATTTCATTATATTTGAAGTGAGCTTCTTGTAGATAGCATATAGTTGGGTCATCTCTTTTTTTAAAATTCATTCTGTGATCTCATTTTATTAATAGTTATATTTAGATCATTTACATTAAATGTAATTATTGATATACGTTTATGCTTTTGTTTCCTATTTTATTTAATATTTGCTCTGTCTTCCTTTTTTTAAACTCTTTCTTGCTTTGGGCTACTTAAACATTTTTTAAAAATCCGTTTTGATTTATGTATAGTGTTTTTGAGTGCAAATATATAGCATTTTTAATAGTTGCTGTAGCTACTGTATTATAGTTATAGCTTACTAACTCTATTGGTGTTAATGGAGTACCAGTTCAAGTGAAGTGTTAAAGTCTTCCCTCCCTTCATATCCCTTCACTTTATAATATAAATATGCAATATAATTGTCTTAAGTATCTCCTGTACATACATTTAGAACCCTACCAGATAGTGTTATAATCTTTGTCTCAGTAGTCAAATACTTAGAAAGCTCAAGAGGAGAAAGAAAACCTATTATATTTTCCCATGGTTTTTTTTATGATTTCTGTCTTCTTTCTTTCTTCTTGATGTTACAAGTTTTCTGTTTTTAATTATCATTTTCTTTCTGTTTAGAGAACTCTTTTCGCTTTTTTTTTTTTTTTTTTTGACAAGATCTTTCTCTCTCAGCCAGGCTGGAGTTCAGTCCTGCAATCATAGCTCACTACAGCTTCACACTCTTGCACTCAAGCAATCCTCTCTTCACCCTCCAACGTAGCACCACCACCCTAGCCAGCTTTTTAAATTTTTTGTACAGATGGGGTCTTGCTTTGTTGCCCAGGCTGGTCTTGAACTTCTGGCTTCAAGCGATCTTTCCACCTCAGCCTCCAGAAGTACTGGGATTACAGGTGTGTTCCACCATGCCCATCGTCTTTAGTTATTCTTTTAAATAGGTCTGTTGGTGACAAACTATCTTAGTTGTCCTTCAACTGAAAATGTCTTGATTTTTCCTTCATTATTGAAGGATATTTTTGCTGGATATAGAATTTTGAGATGACAATTCTTTTAGTACTTGAAAAATGTTATGCCACTTCCTTATGGCCCCCATGTTTCTTGTTGAGAAATCTGTCATTTAAATTTTTTTCCCCTATAAATAAGGTATTATTTGCTGTTGCCACTTTCAAGACTTTTTCCGTCTTTATTTTCAGAAGTTTGACTATAATGTGCTTCAGTAGTGATTTCTTTGCGTTTATCCTTCTTGGCATTCATTGATAGTTTTATGAATCTGTTAGTTTATGCTTTGGCTAAATTTGGGGAGTTTTCAGTTGTTATTTTTTCAAATACTTTTCAGCCACACCCTTTTTCTTCTCTCCTTCCTAGTCTTTAAAGTTATATTAGATGTTTTGTTATAATCCTACTGGTCCCAAAGGCCCTGCTCATTTTTTAAAATATCAGTTTTCTCTCTGCTTTCAGATTGGGTAATTTTTATTGTTGTCTTCAAGTTTACTGATTCCTTTTTTTGTTCCCTTCATTCTGCTGTTTAGGTCATCCATTGAGTTTTTAATTCTGCTGTCTTTCCACTAACACAATTTCCTTTTGGTTCTTATTTATATCTTTGTTTTCCTTGCTGAGACTTTTAATTTTTTTTCCATTTGTTTTGGGCATGTTCATAATTACTCATTAAAACATTTTTATGGTGGTGCTGCTTTATTGCTGCCAAGCGGAAATAGAAATCCATGCCAATGTTAATAACTGGGTGTGAGGGACTCCTCGTAACTCCTGGGCAAGGGTGGAAGTTCTAGTTCTCCATTAAACCTCTGTTGATATCATCCTGGCTGGGAGGGGCATGAAGACTCATTACTGCTTGGCCTCTACTGACATTGTTGAGTTGAGTTGGGGTGGTCTGGTTTCTGCTGGGCAGGAGTGAAAGTTCTACCTCTCCACTAACTTCTTCTGATGCCACTCCAGTGAGGTGGGGAGGAGCATTTTATTACTGCAGGATGGGATGGAAGTCCATACTCTCCATGTGGTCTCCATGAGCACCATCAGTGTGGTGGTGGTGGTGAAGACTCCTTATTGCCTGGTGGAGATGAAGTTCCTAGCTCTCTGCTTTTCCTCTATGACACCACTTGGATAGGAGTTTTGGGGTATCTGGCAAAGGTGGAAATGGAGCCTCCCACTCAGTTTTTGCTGGTGGGGGTGGAGGTGAGGCCACAGTTTTCTCTGTGGTGTTTGGCTGTTACTGTCCAAGCATCTTCTGTCTGGCTAGGTAGCCATTTTGCTTATCCTTTTTCTAGAGAGGGCAGGTTTCTGTTGAGGCTTTTTGGGTTGATACTTGTTGGTATTTCTGGGTTTCTGTCTTCTCCAGCACCTAATCTGGGATATTTGAGGCAAAAAATTAACTCAGAGCACTCACCACCTGTTGTTCATCGGGTCCCAAGTTCCCTAGCTGATTTGCCGCCCTCTGTTCACCTTGTCTTCAACCTTCTTATGTCTGAAATAGATGGAACACTGCTCCATCTTTCTGAAAATTGAAGACCCATTGCTTTCAAAAGTAGATGATTCTAAAAAGTACAGCCCGGGTTAAAAACAACCTAGCTATGCCTGTTTAACACAAAGATTATAGTCTCTCCCCTTCATTGTGAAGGGGTATCAGTTTCTACTTCTGTTGGATTTGAAACAGCTTTAAAATAATTTTAGCATATGTGGACTTTCTCTTGCCCAAACAGTGAAAATATTTTGAAGAGAGGAGCAATGCATTATTATTTGGAAGGCAGCTGAGCCTGGTGGTGTGGACAAGGCTTTTGGAGGCAGAATATCTGTATTGCAATGAGATCTTGGTCAAAATTCTTAACTTTCTTAAGGTCAATAAAAATTCATGATATTGTTAAGAGTAAATATGTTATATATAAAAGACCCACCACAGTGCATGACTAACACATAATATATGTTCAAATATTAGTTCTTTCTTCCTGTGGTCATGCTCTATATATTACCTGAATAGTGATTAAGGAAGCCAAACAATTGGGCTGAGTATTTGAGTCAGAGGAGTTACTCTGGAAGCCTCTTAACTCTTTAGGCTCAGGAATAGCTAGAAAAATAGTTGTAAGGAAGATATCCTTGTAAGAATAGAAATGTGAATTTTTAAAAATGATCCAGGTATGATAGGGTAGTGGTGTAAGTCAAGAAGAAAGACTATTGAGAATACAAAATGATAGGTAAAAGTGATTGGTTATGGTAGTAGAATAGACACGGAAGTAAAACCATGAGCAGGAAGTGAAAGACTGGGAGAAAAGTTTGAGGTTAAGGTTAGGGCCTGGAAATTTTAGTAGGTAAAGTTCTTCCTATTTCTCTGACTGTACTTTCTAATTTTCTTTTGAGGGTTTTTTTTTCTTACGTATTCCTTAAATGTTGTTGTAATTTGAGGTTCTGCCCTCTTTTTCTCATATATACTGACCTTGGATAATCTTATCCAATTCCATAATGCTGGTCTTAAGAAAAAGCTAACAGATTCGAACTCATTTATTGAATCTGCAGTTACCACTGGATGTCTCCATTTGGATGTCACACAGGCTTTTCAATCTCAGCATATCCTAATTCATCTCCCTTCTGTGTTCTCCATCTCATTGAACAGTACCACCATTGATTCAGATCCTAAAGTGAGAAACGCAACCATCTTCCTGTCTTTCATAGAACACACTCAAGCGACAACCAACTTATGCTCATTTTTCCTTCAGGAATTTCTGAAAAATTCTATTGAGCATTAAGGGAAGTCATGTTGGAAGAATGCTAAAATAGGTCAAAGGAGACATAAAATATTCTCCTGAGTCTCAAAACTAATATTCCCCAGGACTGTTTTCTCTATGCTTTATGGGGTAACTGATAGAATTCTGTTAGCATTGTTCTTTGTTTCTTGACCAGTTATTGCCAGTATTTGAATTTTCAGTTTCATCTTCATTCTAGAACTTCATATTCTCTTATGCCATCTTTTTCTTTTCACCTTGTTTTCTCTTTTCAATTTTATGACAATTGCTGCTACAAGTTGAATTCCTATTTCTCTCCCATCACCTGCTATATTAATTAGGGTTAGGTTATGTTGCAGTGAAATCTTAGTTGCTCATAGAAACAAAGATCTATGTCTTGCTCCTGCTACATATCCATGATGGGTTGGCTAAATGTTTTCTCCTTCCAGGTTTGAGTGAGGCCGATGGACCTCTACTGTCTTAAGAGAGTTGGTGGCTGTGGCACAAGGAAGGGGGGGGGGGGAAGCAAGATACATCCAGAAAGGCTTCTGCCTGGTGGAATTGATAAACGTCAATTGAGATTTTCCAAGGACCAAAACACATGCATTACCATGCCCAACTTCAAGTAGGTAGGGAAACGAAGTCTGTTATGAGGGTGGAACACTGAAATAGCTGGTGAACATTTATTTCCAGCATGACTACAAGACTCACTCATGGCTCCTCTGCTGGAAGCCCTGCCTTCTTCTGTCCTCCCTCCCTTCTCCTTCTCTTCCTTTCTTCTTTCCTTCCTTTGACATTTTAAAAATGACTGTTAAAAATATTCTTGGGAATGCCACAAAAATGGGAAACCAAGCATTTAGTACTACAGGGTGGTTCTAAGTATTGAAAAATAAAAATGGATTTGTTAATACATTGCACTGTAACTGCATAGCTAGTGGTTCCAAGTGCAGCCTGGTTGACAGCAGTGATCCAAAGTAGCAGCGACAAAAACAAAACAAAACAAAAAAAACTGCAGGCAAGTTAGAATTTCATTAAATACCAAAAGCGCATCTCTTAGCACTTACTCCATAGCTCTAGGGTGCTGATGCTCACTGTTATCAGTTGCATGAATCACCATGGCAATTGATGAATGTAAAAATTCAGTATATGTTTTTTTCTTGCAGTTTTTTAAAATTTTTGGTTCTGAAGAATACCTTTTCATTTGTCTGTCTCTGTCTCTCTTATTCTGTTCAATGTATGCAACAAGAAAACATTCTCTTTTTTTTTGTGACTTAAAAGCTTTTTCTAATTTATTTGAAAAACTCTGAGGCTGGATGCCGTGGGTCACACCTGTAATTCCAGCACTTTGGGAGGCCGAGGTGGGTGGACCACCTGAGGTCGGGAGTTCGAGACCAGCCAACATGATGAAACCCCGTCTCTACTAAAAATACAAAAAATTAGCCAGGCATGATGGCAGGTACCTGTAATCCCAGCTACTTGGGAGCTGAGGCAGGAGAATCATTTGAACCCGGGAGGTAGAGGTTGCAGTGAGCTGAGGTCACACCATTGCACTCCAGCCTTGGCAACAAGAGCGAAACTCCATTTCAAAAACAAAACAAAAACGAAAAACTCTGAATACTGACTCCTGACAAAAGAGAATTCTATTGTCCCCCCAATATATAGGCATTTATGTTAACCGAATTCTTTTCATGTCTCTTTATTAGTGTGCTCACATTCATGCTCCTTGGACTGTATCTCCAAAAGCAAGATAGAGCATCACAGCTGATACTCTTATTTCTATGTGATGATAGACCATCATATCAGATAGTTTGTTTTTACACTGTAATAAGGAAAACCTGTCTGGAAGGTATGAACCAGGGCAATCAATCTCATAATAGACCACTTGTTAACATTAGACCAATGGTAAGAGTAGAGCAGACAGAAATGAAACCCAATCTATTGTATATGTTAATGATAAATATATATGTGTACACGTGTGCACACACACACACACACAGCATCCATAATTCAAAAATCAAAAATCTGAAATGCTCCAAAATTTGAAATTTTTTGCGCTCTGACATGACACCACAAGTGGAACATTCCACACCTGACCTCATGTAGTGAGTTGCTGTCAAAACTCTGTTTCATGCACAAAATTATTTAAAATATTATATAAAATTACCTTTAGGCTATGTGTATAAGGTATATGTGAAGCATAAATGAATTTAGTGCTTAGGCTTGGGGAGCATCACAAGATAATCTCATTATGTATATGCAAATATTCCAAAATCCAAAAAAATTTGAAAAACCTCTAGTCCCAAGTATTTCAGATAAGGGATATTCAACCTGAACTTGTGTAACTGGTGTAACTGTACATACATATGCATGTGCATGTCTGTGTGTGTTCCAACCCAAACACCATGCCATTCTTCCCCTGCCTTGCCCCATGTCCCACATCCACTCCTACCCCCATTTATTTGCTACCAGAACTAGGTCACTTTCTTGTCCCTTAGACTCAGTGGGAGACTCCCAACTCATTGTGTTTGGATTAAGTAGAAAGTTATTCTATAACCATGTATTCAAAAAAAATAACTTTACAATCATTTGAAACAAAACCAACTATTACTTTTAAAAAGCTACCTGCTTTCAATTAAGCAGGAAATTATCTAAGAAGCCACTTAATTTGCTTTGGTCTGTAGTCCCACAACTGCTTTATGCTGAGTGGAGCATGAAATTAAATATGTAACAACTATCCTAATGGTTATGTTTCAGAATGCCAGCATTTTAGATTCCTAGGTATACCGAGTGGTAACAAATACAAAAATGTACCAATCAAAGAATATGGCTGTATTGAGTTTGAGGAAGAAAAAAACCCAAAATATTATTAATGTTCTTTATTTTTTTTAGTTAAAACTGTTTTTAAAAGTCTTCCGTTAATTGATGTATCTAGGAAGAGCTGCAGTGCATATATGGAAAATTTTTTCAGACTACAATAAACTGCATTTTTTTCCAAATAAATTTTTACAGCATTTTCTTGTGTCCAAATGTAAAATAAATTATGCAAGGATACATTAATAGAGAAAGTCATAATGAATTTTTACTATGTGTTGAAGAAACACTGATACTAATCTCCGTTTGAAGGATTCATCTTTGTTTAAAGCAAAGACGTGTTGTTTGCAATGGAGAAACTGTTTATGTCCACATATAAAGGCACTAGTTTGTGCAGGAAATTTCAGAAGCATTACTTAAATGACACTTCAATCAGTTCTTAACAATGTTGTAAATGCTAGATGGTTCTCAGAGCCTCTTATTTATTTAAAACATTTTTTTCACAACTTTAAAACTATTTTTAAACTAGACAAATCTTTCCAAACACTAATCATATTATGATTAAACATTTTTAAAATAGCTGTATAAATGTGGATAAAATCATCCTCGTTCTTTTGTAGTTACTTATTTTAACCCAATCCTTTTCTTTCTTTTTCTAAAAAGTCTAGGTTGACATTTTGGCAGTTGTATTAGGAAATGTTGACAAACAAATAGAAGAATGTAACTGGATTTCTCTTCCCCCCCATATGTGAAGCAAGGCAAGTGTGAGCTGAGAGAGCTTGCAAGGTTCCACAGTTGCTCAGCACTCATTTATTTGATGCTGAAGATGCTTAATATTCTAGTTTCTGTCATTGAATCTATCTCTATACTTAGCTATATTATTCAAAAATATTTTTCAGTTTTCTAAAACTGCTATCTTCAAGGATTCCCTGAGAAGCTACAAAAAAGGACATCATGGTAATTTATGGGACGTTGGATATTTTTCTAGGACAAAAAATCTCCTATTTCTGCATGTATACTTCAGCTTATTCTGATCAGGGAAAGAGCAAGACCATAATCACACAGAATCCTTGCATAAGAATCTGTGTGACCTTGAGAGAGCTGGTTGACCTCCCTGAGCCCGATTCCTATGAACTGTAACCGTCTTTCATGTGTACGTTGGGAATAATCATAACTCTCTGTCAGAATTGTGAGGATTAATTTGAGATAAGGTAAGACAAGCATTCTGTAGAGTGACTGACACATAGTAGGACCGTGTTGTCATGAGTTACCGTGATTAAAGTGGTGGATCATCTCATCCTTCTTTTGTAGCCTCTGTCTACCAGATCCTATGGGAAGCCTTTCGTGTCTGTCATTTCATTAAGTCTTCCCAACAGCCTAACGAGATAGGTCTTATTAGTATCTCACTTTACAGCTGAGAAATCACAACAGAGGGACTGGTGATGGTTCACTGGGCATTTCAGGTAAAGAAACAGGTAAAGGTGGTATTTTGAGTTTAAGAAGCCTTTTTCCCTGAAACTCGGCCAAAAGTTTTTCCTACTTAGAGGACCTACTTGCATTTTTATCAGCCTGCAGAATGTTTCTAAACTTCAACCGTGTGTCTTTTGGCTACACTTGGAATGTTAGTAACCAAAAGAAAGACAGACTTTTGGATGATGTGGAGTTTGTTTTCACCACAGCCAAATCTTTGCTACGGTAAAAGATATTATAGACCAATCCGATTGCATTTCTTAAACAATCACTAAAATACAAATTTAAAGATAAAAATAAGTGCCTTTATATAGCTGAGGGTGTGATTTATTTATACACAAGGGAGTTTAATTTTCCAATTAATGAGTGGGTTTTATGCACATGATGTCCCTTAGTTTTAATGAATAATGTGTGTGTGGTATGATAGATTGCTGTGCTAAACACATGGTGCTCCCTGCCAGAAAGCAGATCTGTATATTATAATTTGTACATGTGATATCACACCGATGAAATCAAGAAAATGAATTAATTACATTCACAAATGTTTGGTAGACCAATAATTTCCAAGAGTCAGGAAATTCCTTAAGAAACACCTAGGCAATAGTGTTTTACTAGGAAATAATTGAGCAATATTTTAAAAATCTCAACCTGGAGGAAATGATATATCATTGAAAGGAGTGACTCTAAAGATAGGACCTAAAAACAACTTGGAACCCTGAAATTTAAAATTGGTTGAATTTAGATTAGAGCAGAGACGTCATTTGATCTTAGTGATGTACTTGCCTTATCTATCCAAATATTCATTCCTGAGAGCTTGACACAGCGCCAGGAAATACACTTTCTCCTAATTTTTTTTCATGGGAAGTTGCCTGGAAAATAAAATTAGAAAATGAAAGTTTGGTTTCAAGGAGGGGTAACCAGCTCTCAAGCTGGTACAAAGTACCAGGTTTTTAAAATAAATTACCCAAATCTTAGGGTTTATTCTATCTACACGGCATGACCTAGGGTTGCAGAGAATCAAAGACTTTTACTCTCTGGTCATTCGTAGTGCCCTGTGGTTCTTATGCAAAGAAAAGAGAATAGCACCCTGGGCTCTGTTCCTGCGGGATTTCTGTGTAAGCTTTCTTCCTCCTTTTGCTTCATATTACACACACACACACACACACACACTGTTTCAACTCTTCCTCTTTCTCTGTTGTGTGCTCTCTTTCACGCACACTCACACACCTTTTTTTTTTAAAAAAAAAATAGATACCTTAGGTGATCAGCTGCAAAGGTTGCAGTTGTATAATACATTATTATTTTTAAAAATTTCTATGGCTTTCCGACATCTGAATCAAAAAGCACACTCAAAAGGGAGGAAAGAAGAAAATACAACTATTTAAACTCTGCATTTCCTAAAGGCAGTTACAATTATAGTGCCACTTTCTCAATTTTACTTAAATTTACTCCCTGCCAACATTTGAGTGCTGACCTTTCCATACTTAGCAAAGTCTAGGCATGCAGTGAATGAGTTCATGAAAGGGGCATTTCTTGGGAGGTCACAAAAACAGAACATTATTGTGGAGAAACTAGAATGATTACCAGGACATTTTTTTAACATAACATTTTATGATTAGAGAAACCCAAATCCAATGATCTGTTTTGCTACATCATGCTCTTATTATGCCTCAGTTTCTTATGTGTAAAAGGGGTATAGAAACATCTGTGCCCCTGCAATTAACAGGAATGCTTTTTAAGATAAATGGAATAGCATATTTAAAAGACAATAGTATTATTTAACACAGGCCTGGCCAATGAACTCTTACTAATCAATACCATTAAATTGATTATACAAACAATAAGAAAATTATCTTTATCAAAATGACCTATGAGTAAGTGTTATTCTAGAGTTCTTAGCTAGTTCTGTAATCACATTGGCCATTATGGGCCTAGCATAGTGCTCAGTATGTGTATCTTGAATGGATGGAGGAAACAATGAATAAATGAATGGATATTTGAATTTTCACTTTGGCATTAGATAATTTAGGGCCACGGAAAAGGGATGGCAGGAATATAGCATGCATACCAATCGTTCATCTTCCCTTACTAATTAATTGTAGCATTCTGTCTTGCTGAGACTGAAGGTAACTTCAGAATCTCAATAGAGGAACCCAAGATATCTCAATCAACGGGAGTTACATTTGAAAGAAAATATATTTGCAACCCCAAAATATTTAGAGAGACCAGTGATTTAAAGGGCAGGGTGAAATGATGGACATGACACTTATCTGGGACCTATTAACCCTAGCTGATCTTAAGTATTTATGTTCAAACATACCAGGACACAGGAGAGTCCTAAGACTCAACTTTTCCCAAAACAGATGTCACTGTTGCTTTGAAATAGTATAATGTGTGATAAGAAGAAAAAGTACATTGGTAAGAAGACTCAATGTAGAAATTATAATTTTCATGGCAGTATTATTGTTATTATTGCTATTGTAGGTAGAAAAGGAGAGAATGAGGAAGGAAGGAAAGAAATACTTTCTTTGTTAGGCATACAGGAAGACTTCAAAGCTAGGCAGGGCTTAAAATGAAGATCTCCTTATTTGAAGTCACTCATTCTATTATTTATCTTATCAAAAATATTTTGGCTGGGTGTGGTGACTCACGCCTGTAATCCCAGCACTTTGGGAGGCTGAGGCGGGCGGATCACCTGAGGTTGGGAGTTCGAGACCAGCCTGACCAACATGGAGAAACCCCATTTCTACTTAAAATACAAAATTAGCTGGGCGTGGTGGCACATGCCTGTAATCCCAGCTACTCGGGAGGCTGAGGCAGGAGAATCGCTTGAACCTGGGAGGCGGAGGTTGTGGTGAGCCGAGATCACGCCATTGTACTCGAGTCTGGGCAACAAGAGCAAAACTCTGTCTCAAAAAAAAAAAAAACTATATATATATATATATATATATATATAAATAAAATATATGATTTGTGAGTACTATATGTACACACAGAGCAAAGATCTGTAATTGACCTTGGACGTGCAAAAAGAATAAGATGTAGTTCCTGTCTTTGAGGGGCTCCAAGTCTAGGGAGGAAAGTGGACTGAGTAACAGTTTAACGTGACGTGCTACGGTAGTTCAGATACCTACTAAAGGTATTGACCACCAGACTCTAATGCTTTTCTCTCTCTATCCAATAGTGACTACTGTTTTATGTTGAAATATATATCTTAATTTAGAAATTAAAATCTATAGATATCAATTGCTTAAAAATTACCAGTCATATTGCTTTATTAAAATATACAAGGTGGACTATGTATAAAAAATTGTAGAATTTATGCCTGAAATTAATTCACACTGGGCTTTATCCGTAATTCATTTAATCAGAGGAAATAGTTTGATGTTATAATGGCTGCTTAAAAAGAAAAACTGAGGAGTCAGGCTTGTTTTAAAACTAAACTAAGGTTTTATTCTTTCCTTCATGAAATTACTGAGCACTTGCTCTGGCCAAAACTTTGATGGATATATTTACAGTCTAGTAGAGGAAAGACAATCTATCCTGGCAACATTACTATAGGAAAGAAAGAAAGATGCAGCGTAAGGGAGTTACAAATAAATACAATTAAAGTTCAAGGTAGGGGAGAGTACTTCTAGCCTTGTGGAATTAGGGTGTGAGAAACGGTTGGTAATATTGGAACATTGGGTGGGGCTTGAAGCAAATACACATGGACACATACACACCCTTATATGTGTATATATATTTGTGTGTGTATATATAAAATATATGTTTGTAAGTATGTATACACGCATATATACACATCCAGATCAAGAGCCAGGCCATTACCTGCACATAGTTTTAGCTTTTACATATATGCGTGTATGCATATACAAATGTTCAAGATGTATCACATACCTCAATGTAAAATACATATATGCATGTATACGAGTGTACACACATACACACATGCACACATATACATATGATTGTATACATATACACATACATATATACATACAGAGTCATGCATCGCTTAATGATGGCCATACATTCTGAGAAATGCGTCATTAGGCACTTTCTTTGTGCAAACATCATGGAGTGTATATACACAAACTTAGTATAGCCAACTACACATCCAGGCTATATGGTATAGGCTACAAACCTGTACAGCATATTACTGTAGTGAATAGGCAGTTGTAACAGTGGTGAGTATCTGTGTATCTAAACATACCTAAACAGAGGAACAGTACAGTTAAAATACGGTATTATTTTATAAGATTACAATCTTACTGTAATCTTCCATCATCCACCCAGATGTTGTTATGTGGTGCATGATTGTACATAGTGTTTTCTTTTAATAGAATTACAGTAAACATACAACAAAGTGTAGTGTATAGCTTGAAAACATAACCCTGCAACTAGCATCCAGATCAAGAGCCAGACCATTACCTGCACATAGTTTTAGCTTTTACATTGAGGTATGTGATACATGTGATATATCTTGAACATTTGTATTTTAAAGGTGTGAGGTAGGATTCAAAGATCATTTTTTGTTATATGGTGATTCAATTATTTCAGTACCATTTTCTTTTTCCCATTGAATTATCTTGGCGTATTTGCCAAAATCAATTGATTATTTACATATGGACCTATTTATGCACTCTATTGGTTCTTAATGGTGCCCTTTTTTTTAGTCTGCTAAAACAATTATTATTTTTATTATATATATTTAAGGTGTATGGTGTGATGTTTTGATATACATATACATCATGAAATGATTAAATGGTGCCCTTTGATGAACAGAAAATCTTAATATATATGTTTAAAAAATATATAATTATACTTATATACCTAGCGCTTCTTGTGTCCTATTTGTAAAATTTTTGCCTGCTCCAAAGTCATGAAGATACTCTCATGTTTTCTTCTAAAAGTTGTATTGTTTTACCTTTCACATTCAGATCTACAGTCCCTCTTGGACAGATTTTCCTGTGTGTATATGATATGAGGTAAGAATAAAGATTTTTTTCCCCATAGCTATCCAGTTGAGCCAGAACCATTTGTAGAAAATTCTGTGATTTCCCCACTGCATTGTAGTGAGTGGCCTCTTCATCATAAATCAGTTAACCTCATGTGTGTGTTTCAGTTCCCAGACTCCATTCTGTTCCATGAATCTATCAGTCTCTTCTTTTATGGCAATATATACTGTTTTAATAATTATCACTCCATAAGTCTTAATATCTAGAGTATAAGCTTTCTTCAACAAGAAACGAAATGATTATTTTGGTTAATTTTGGCCTTTTGCATTTTTATATAAATTTTAGAATTTTTTTTGTTAATTCCAATATCGATTCAAAATTTGCTAGGAATAAAATTGGGATTACGTTAATTTACAGTTAAATTTGGGAAGCACTGTTAGCTTTACAATATTGAGCCTTCCAGTTTGTGAACATGGTATAACCCTTCATGTATTTATGTCTTTTAACATTTCTTTCCTAATATTTTGTAGTTTTCAATGCAGAGGTCATGCAGATGTTTGTTAGGTTTACACCTAAGTATCAGAATTTTTAAAAAACGACTTTTGTTGATGTTTTAATGTGTCAATTTGACTAGACTACAGTCTCCAGTTAGTCGAACACTTACCTATGTCATGCTATGAAGGTATTTTGCATATGTGATTAAAGCCATTAACCACTTAACCTTAATAAGAGAGGTTACCCTAGAAAATCTGGGTGGGCCTTACTGAATAGTGGGATGGCCTTCAAAACAGGGCTGAAGTTTTTCTTTTTTCTTTTCTTTTTTTTTTTTTGAGACGAAGTCACTCACTGTCACCCAGGCTGGAGTGCAGTGGCAAGATCCCGGCTCGCTGCAACCTCCACCTTCTGGATTCAAGCAATTCTCCTGCCTCAGCCTCCTGAGTAGCTGGGATTACAGGCATGTACCACCACGCCTGGCTAATTTTTGTATTTTTAGTAGAGATGGGGTTTCACCATGTTGGTCAGGCTGGTCTCGAACTCCTCTTCTCGTGATCCGCCCGCGTAGGCCTCCCAAAGCGCTGGGATTACAGGCGTGAGCCACCGCGCCTGACCCCAGGTTTTTGTTACAAAGAGATGAAATTCTGTCTGTGGATGACAGTGCTGGCCTGTGCCCGTGAGTTTCATTCTGCTCATGATCTTTCCTTCCTGGTTCCCTGGGCTAGGGATGTTGGACTTGCTTAGTCAGCCTCCACGATAGTAAGCTAATTTTCTGTAATGAATTATCTACCTACCTACATAATCTATTTATCATTTTATCATCTACCTCCCACTGGTGCTGCTTCTCTAAGTGAGCACTGTCTGATACAGATTTTGGTACTGGATGTGTTTCGAAAAGAACAGAATCTTAAGGATGAATTCTCTGAATTGTTGCTGAGCAGTACCTGGAATGATGTAGTCAAAGCATTGCTCAAATTATTGCCAGTGGATGCCTCTAATCAAATCCCAATACCTCAGAAATATTACAACACTTTAATTAAGGTCATTAGATACCAAGGAGCAGGACCAGGATTTAAACCTCGATTTGTTGGACGAAGGTGTTAGCAGCTATGCTCTGCTGCTAGTGCCCATAGGCACTAGATTTACTTTGAGAGAAATTAATGTTTTAAGATTCACACTCTATATGATTCTATAGGTTAAATATCTTTTTTCTCTTTTTGGTATTATTGGGAAGAATATATGGTTTGGGAGATGTTAGATACGGGGAGAAACACCAGAGGGATTGACAAGCATTTTCTGATCAGATTTGGAATATTTAGTTCTATTCAAATCTTCACTACTCATTTTTCAGTGGTTTGTTTTTACTCTTGTGATGTCAAAGACCATATTAATTCACTCATATTCAAAAGCCAAAGAGACTTAAAAGCCAAAAAGAATGTATTTAAAAACAATCTTCTTGCTGTTTACAGCAGCCTAATATGTATGAGACCTCTCTTCTTGGAAGGAAGGATGAGCACAAGGAGCTATAATGGGCTTGATTTCCTTGGCCAGCGCGGGCAGAATGTTTTTGCATAGAGATTTGCAGGAACAATACCTGCTGCATTTTAATTTTTACAGAGACCGAAAGTACGTGTGAAAGTATGTGTGAGCTGAATGCACCCCATGTGAACCTTGCAATTCTAATCTCCAAGGGAAACAAGAACTTCATGGGTCCTAAGCCACCCCTGGAGCAAACATATCCAGGCACAGCCGTCTGTGAATGAGCAGGGCCAAAGCATGCTGGGTGCAGAGCTTTACCCAAAGGACTGTTTGGGGCAACTCTTAATTCCTAAGGCATGGGGTATGATAGGGTATAGAAAATCTGTTAGGAAAAGAACAACCTAAAGAAAAAAAAGGGAGCAAGGAATGGCAAAACATTGGATTCGATCTTCCAACTTCATTGAAGGAAAACTGTGTGAGATTAAAGAAAGCATGTGCCACAGATGCAGCCGGGAATGGCCGGGGGCGAGGCAGAAGTACAAATGCTGCTTTAATATATTGGAATAGAAAGACTTCTGGCTCTTGTATTATGTCTCAGAAACTTCAAGTTTGCTCCTTGGGAGATACATTTAATTAATTAATATACATTTTGCTGACTTTGGGATTTGCAGAAGGCAAACAGTATTTGTATTTTCATGTCTCACAATAACCTAGTGAGATGGAGTTGTTATTCCCATTTTCCAGACAAGCTAACTGAGTCCAGTGACTTGTCTAAGATTCTCAAGGAAGCTGGGAGATACATCTCTTGAATATTTTTCAAATAGTGTCTTGAAAAAATAATGAGCACTTTTATTTCCAAAATATACTTTTGTGAGTCTCTTAGCTTCTCTGATTATCAAATAACATGTTGAGGTTGGCAAGGCAGGTGTTATGATGGTAAATGTGCCTACTTGAGGAAACTGAGGCTCAGCATTGAGTGACACCACCATTCAGCCATGGAAACTAGAAACCGTGGACTACATCCATTCTATTCCCTGGCCAGCGTAGAACTACTTATACACTGTAACTGTAACCTCCCAGCCTTTACACAGTTTCTCTCCCTGCAATACCCACACTGTGATGGTTAATTTCATGTGTCAACTTGACTGGGCTACAGGATGCCCAGATATCTGGTAAAGCATCATTTCTGGCTATGTCTGTGAGGGTATCTGCAGAAGAGATTAGCATTTGAATTCATGGACTGAGTGAAGAAGATCCACTCTCATCAATGTGGGTGAGCACCATACAATCCTTGAGGGCCCAGATAGAACAAAAAGGCAGAAAAGGGGTGAATCTTCTTGAGCTGGGACGGCCAACTTCTGCCCTAGGACCTCAGAATTCCTGCTCCTTGGGTCTTGAAACCCCAGAACTTACACCGTTGGCTTGCTTAGTCTTCAGGCCTTGGGCCTTGTACTGAATTACACTACTGGCTTTCCTGGTTCTTCTGCTTGCAGATGGCAGATTGTGGGACCTCTCATCTTCCATAATCACGGGAGTCAATTCCCATAATGTATTTTCTTATCTCTCGCGCTCTCTCTATATATATCCTATTGGTTCATTTCTTTGGTAAACTCTAACTCCAACTCCTGAGCCTGACCGTCAGGCTTTTGAGAGAGGGCTCAAGGTCACCACAGCTGGAGCAGGGGCTGAACTGTGGCTGGGACCTGTGGGGCTCATCTCTGGAGCTACTGGAAGAGGAGTCTGCCTAGTGCCCCACAGCTAGAAAAAGGCGAACATTCTCGCTGGGGTGGGGATTGGGGGTGGGCAGGAAAAAGCTGTTTTGCGAATATTAAGTCTTTGAGGGTGTTCCATACAGAATTCACCAGATGAACAGTACCGGGCCATCACAGCCTTTGGCTCAGTCATTCCTCAGGCTAAGAGAAGCCCTCTCTTTCACTAACAGAGCTATCTTCCAAAGTCTGCTGTGAAACCAAACATCAATGTTTTGCTCCACCAACAGGCTACTGAGAGGTAATGATTAGCTGGCTACCATTGATTGAGTGCTCACTAAGTGAGGAAGTGCATTACTTACGTGGCCTCATTAAGACCTCTTGAGGTTACTCCAACTGACAGAAAGGGAAAATGAGGCCGGGCAAGGCACACAGATGTGCCCAAAGTTTCCTACTTGGTAATGAGCCCAAGCAGGGCCTGAACATGTCACATGGGAGGGTGCATGTTTGACGCCTCTTAATTTAATTTACTTCGAGCCAGAGCAGGAAGGAAGGTCATTTAATACTGTACTTGAAAACTGATTTTTGCTCTACTAAAGATGCCACTACTGAATTTTCCCAGGGAATGAGCTGAGTCCTGCTTTCTTTCTATTAATTACCTGTGCAGGCAGCCTTGCACTTTTAATATTGCCTCACACCTGAGACTCTTTCAAGGTTATTTGACTGCATGCTAAGGTGAAGAAAATTCTTTTCAAACATTAGTGCTTAATGGACTTCAGCTCAAAGCAACTGAACCACCTACAGTGTACAGCACTGTTCTGCCCCCCAATCCCCACCCAAATAAAGATAAAACTGGTCCCTAGTCTCCAGGAGCTTTTAGTCTTTGGAAAAAGCATTATATTCAAATGAGGTAGGTAGACATTGTTCTAGACAGACACTAATCTGTGACAATAAGTACATAGAATAGTGCTAATGAACAATGATAAATACTTTGACAAAATGTACTTAATAATACAGAGCAATGACCAGTCAGAAAAATGTCAGGTAGGATTTGAATAATTCCAAGGAATATTTGATGAGAGCATTTCCCCTGGTTTTAAGGGTAATTTTGAAAGTATTAATTTGTTGCATGAGATTTAAAAAAAAAAACCCATATTACCACTTAATTAAAATTTTTTTGATATAGACTTAGGGAGAAGTGGTCAAGAGTAGCCAACCATCCGCTTTGTCAATTCTGGATAGAGTCAGAAGAAAAATACTATTTCCTATGTGTAGATATTCCATGAATTAATACAAAACATCAGTTCTTAGAATAGTCATTGGTGTATACTATAAATTCAGCAAATATTAGATACTATTTCAGCAAATATTTGATATTATTATTACGTCTTTGATGAAGCAATTGTTTGTATTTCAGGGAATGGTTCAAATGAATATGTTACATAATGCATAATGTTTTGTGATTGAGTTGGATCCCCTGTGGTTTATTTTTCCTTGCAAAAAGTCAGGCTTTTCCATTTTGTATTTTTGTCAGTAGAGTGTCTTAGGTAAAATGCATAGCTTTGTAGCCCAGCTCAATAACTACACCCCTTCAGGTATTTTCTGGTATTTATTTCACAAATCCGTACATTTTTAAAAGAACAGATACCGTTTTTAGTAATTCAAAAATGTTTTCTAGGTACTTGTTTATATTCAAAGTCTGTTATCTTGGATGAACATTCCCCAAAACATGCACCAGACATTTTTCTCATATTTTGGATTGTCAATGTGAAATGTACTTAAAATTTCCCACAGCATCAGTTTTCTTTGTAAATTTTCAACACATTTCATATGCTTCTATAACAGATAATGCCTTGTTCTGCATTTACTTTCAAGAAAATGACTTCTATGGTTTTATACCTTTACCTCATATTAAAAATACACTAATAAGCTTGTTGTCACGGGGAACTATCTTTGTGTCAAACTGAATGTAGCATTTGAAGAAGCCATTTACAATGAGGAAGTTTCCATTTCTGAGCACTGTTGATATTAAGGTGCTGAATTACCTGCCCTGGTGGTTAAGTGTTCCCAGCCATTGCTGTCTTGCTCAACTGACTTGAATTTTGTAGAAGCTGAACTATTTGCAGGTCACACCGTTATGTGCAAGGTGAAAGTTCTTCCCTAGTAAGGAACACTTGAAGTATAAATAGTAAGCTTAGTAGAGTGAAACAAATTGCCTGTCGTGATGAACTCACTGATGTGTTATTTGTGTTCCTTTCTGTCTACTTAGTCAATATAATGAAAATAATATGTTCTCATAAAAATTTGGAAATTATAGAAAGGAATAAAAAATACGCATCGACAATCACTGTTAACATTTTTATGTATGTCTTTTGATCTCCTGTGTGTATTAAAAAATCATTGAGATATGTACACATCATTTTGTATCTTTTTAAAATACAGGCTGAGCGCAGTGGCTCACGCCTGTAATCTCAGCACTTTGGGAGGCCAAGGCAGGTGGATCATTTCAGGTTAGGCATTCAAGACCAGCCTGGCCAACATGGTGAAACCCCATCTCTACTAAAAATACAAAAAATTAGCTGGCCGTGGTGGCAGGCGCCTCTAATTCCAGCTACTCGGGAGGCTGAGGCAGGAGAATCGCTTGAACTCGGGAGGCAGAGGTTGCAGTGAGCCAAGATCGCACCACTTCACTCCAGCCTGGGCGACAGAGCGAGACTCCGTCTCAACAAAAAGACAAAAAAAAAATACATCCCATTATAGCATTTTCGATCTGCCAGTCATTTTTTCTATAATCATAACTGGCTAATGTCCATGTTTGTAAATATAGAATCCTGTATTTTAGACTTGCCAGCCAACAGACTATACTCACATATTGTTTTCTCATGTCTGTAGTCATTTGGTCCATCATAGATTAAATGTCCATGAATAGAAAATGTGAGTCTGCTTGGCCAGGTGCGGTAGCTCACGCCTGTAATCCCAGCACTTTGGGAGGCCTAGGCGGGTGGATCATGAGGTCAGGAGATCGAGACCATCCTGGCTAACACAGTGAAACCCCGTCTCTACTAAAAATACAAAAAATTAGCCGGGCGTGGTGGCGGGTGCCTGTAGTCCCAGCTACTCGGGAGGCTGAGGCAGGAGAATGGTGTAAGTAAACCTGGGAGGCAGAGTTTGCAGTGAGCCGAGATCACGCCACTGTACTCCAGCCTGGGCAACAGAGTGAGACTCTGTCTCAAACAAACAAACAAAAAAGGTGTGTCTGCTTTAAGACATTGCCACATGGCTCAAACATTCACTTGATGTCTCTTCATTTTATTTGTCTATGTCCATAACCTTTTGGAAAAATTTCATTGATTAATTTGCTCGCTATTCTGAGATAGAAGTAAGGCATCAGAGCAGTTTATTTCTTGATATCACTCCTGCTCACTGTTTTGAAGAGGCCTAGCAAGTAGAAAACTTAAAGTAGTTTTCCTAGAATAGAATATCAACCGGGACCAGTAACTCCACAATCGTTGTTACGGAAGAGTCCATACTTATGTCCACAAATTACATATATTATGTAACCCTGACATCTAAACTCAAGGAAGAATTTTACATTATTCTGATTACAATAAAGGGTGATGGGTGCACCAAAATCTCGGAAATCACCACTAAAGAACTTATTCATGTAACCAAACACCACCTGTTCCCCCAAAAACCTATGGAAATAAAAAAATAAATAGGAGCATTTGTAAAATAATATTTTTAACTTAATATATTGCTAGGTGACTTTTTTTGAGTTGAGGCTGATATTTTGCACTGTGAATTCCACCAGTCTAAAAATAAAGCTTCTGGAAAGCTTTTCCTGGATATGAACTGTAGTAATGAGGAGGCACCTGCATGTCCACATAGGATATACATGGGATTGATTGCAACCTCCTATTTTTTGTTAGCTTTATTGAGGCATAATTTACATATAATAAAATTCTTTTTTTGGCCAGGTGCGGTGGCTCACACCTGTAATCCCAGCACTTTGGGAGGCCGAGGAGGGTGAATCACCTGAGGTCAGGAGTTCGAGACCAACCTGGTCAACATGGTGAAACCACATCTCTACTAAAAATACAAAAATTAGCCAGGTGTGGTGGTGCATGCCTGTAATCCCAGCTACTCGAGAGGCTGAGGCAGGAGAATTGCTTGAACACGGGAGGCGGAGGTTGCAGTGAGCCAAGATCATGCCATTGCACTCCAGCCTGGGCAACAGAGTGAAACTCTGTCTCAAAATAAATAAATAAAAATTAAAAAATTCATTTTTTTTCTTTTAGATACAGGATCTTGCACACTGCACAGGATGGAGTGCAGTGGTGTGATCATAGCTCACTGCAGCCTCAAACTCCTGGGCTCAAGGCATCCTCTTGCCGCCCAAGTAGCTGGGACTACAGGTACACACCACCACACTGGCCAACTAAAAAAATTCTTTTTTTGTAGAGACGGGAATCTCACTGTGTTGCTCAGGCTGGTCTTGAACTCCTGGCCTTAAGTGATCCTCCTGCCTCGGCCTCCCAAGTCGCTGGGATTGCAAGTGTAAGCCACTACCCCGGCCTAAAATTCAATTTTAAGCGTATAATTTGATAAATTGTGACAAACATATGCAGCTCTGTGACAACTACCACAATCGTGATATAGAACATTTCCATTACGACTAAAAGTTGCAGTGGGCCTCTTGGCAGTGACTTCCTTCACCTGCCTCTTTACTCCATGGTAATAATGATCTGCTTTTTATCACTATAGTCTGGCTTTTCTAGAAATTCATATACATGGAACTTTATAGTCTTTTTTGTCTGGTTCTCTCATTTAATATAATGCTTTTTGTAACATCTTATTGTTTGTTATCAGTTCATTCTTATTTGTTGCTAAATAATATTTCACTTATTATTTAATCTCTTCACCAGTTGATAGGTATTTGAGTTCTTTCTAGTTTTTCACAATTACTGACATTAAAAATAAAGCAGCTCTGAACTTGAGCACAAATTTTACTTTCATTTTTCTTGGGTAAGTACTTAACAGTGGAATTGCTGGGACATATAGTATGTGTATATTTAACTTTATAAAGAACTGCTTTATAATTTTTTTCCAAAGTGGCAGATCCATTTGCATTCCCATAAGCAATGATTAAGGCAAGAGGATTGCTTGAGCCCAGGAGTTTGAGGTTACAGTAAGCTATAACCATGCCACTGCATTTCAGCCTGAATGACAGAGTGAGACCCTGTCTCTAAAAAAAAAAAAAAAAAAAAAAAGAACAAACACTTTGTATACAAACCTTTATAGTTACATGTTAATGCAAATATTTTCTCCTAATTTGTAGGCTAGCTTTTCATTTCCTTAACAGTGTTTTTTAAATAGCAAAATTTTTTAGCAAACTTTTAACATTTTGATGACATCCAGTCAATTTTTTCTTTTTGGGTCCTAGTTAAAACATATTTGCCCAATCCAAAGTCAGTAACATTTTCTTCTATGCCTTCTTCTAGAAGTTGTACAATTTTATTTTTATATTTGTCTCTGTGATCCATTTTTTTTTTTTTTGAGACAGAGTCTTGATCTGTTGCCCAGGCTGTAGTGCAGAGGTGTGATCCCTGCTCACAGCAACTTCCGTCTCCCTGGCTCAAGCGATTCTTGTGCCTCAGCCTCCTGAGTAGCTGGGATTGCAGGCAGGTGCCACCACACCTGGCTAATTTTTGTATTTTTAGTGGAGACAGGGTTTCACCATGTTGGCCAGGCTGGTCTCAAACTCCTGACCTCATGTTATCCACCTGGTTCGGCCTCCCAAAGTGCTGGGATTACAGGTGTGAGCCACCGCACCCGGCCTGTGATTCACTTTTGAGTTAATTTTTTGGTGTATGTGAATCAAATGTTATGTTTCACTTTTTTGCATATGGATTTTTTTTTCTAGCACCAGTTATTGAAAAGTTTTTCATTTTTCCATTGAATTTTCCTAGAATAGTTGTCCAGAAAACCTCCAATTTGTTATTGTGTATGTGATATGGTTTGGCTCTGTCCCCACCTAAATCTCATCTCAAATTGTAATCCTCACTTGTTGGGGGAGGTAGCTGGTGAGAGATGATTGGATCATGGGAGTTGTTTCCCCCATGCTGTTCTTGTGATAGTGAGGGATTTCTCATGAGATCTGATGGTTTAAAAGTGTCTGTCAGTTTCCCCTTGTCTCTCCCCTGTCACCATGTGAAGGTCTTTGCTTCCTTTTCACCTTCTACCATGATTGTAAGTTTCCTGAGACCTCTCCAGGTATAGGGAACTGTAAGTCAAGCCATTTTTCTTCATAAATTACCCATTCTCAGGTATTCTTTAGAGTGGTGTGAAAACAGACTAATACAGTATGGGTCTATTTCTGGACTCTAGTCTATTTCTGGACTCTCTAGTCTATTTCTTTGTCTATCTTAACACCATAGCACACCATCTTAATTATTGTAGTTTTAAAATAAATCTTGAAATTAGGCTGTGTTCATCTTCTAACTTTGTTGTTTTTCAAAGTTGTTTCAGCTAGTCTAGGTCCTTTGTATTTCTATATGAAATTTAAAGTTACCTTGTGAATTTCTTCAAAAAATGTCTTTTACCCACAAAGTATAAGGAACTTTTATTCAGAACATACAACTTTTACCCACAAAGTATAAAGAACTTTTATCCAGAATATATAAATATTTAATACACATTTATAGCAAGGAGTAGAGTTTGGATGGAGATGGGACATTTCTGTAAAGCTTATCCTATGTTCCTTTAGCACTTCTGTCCAAAGCAGCTCTAGATGACTTGTACTAGTAAAGGTGCACATTAAGTTAAGGGTCCAAGAACATTTCAGATAATTCTTAAAGTATTTAGAAATGTGAATATACTTTTGATGCTCAGGCCTGGTTTCTGAAAGCAATGGGCAAGTCAGACCATAAGGCAATTCAGATCTTGGCGGTATCGCATTAAAAATAGGCTGCATCTTTTTTAGTAGATGTAGGTTCTGCTAATGATTGCTGCAACCAGAAGTCAAAACTTCTTTCTTACACACAGTGTAGAAAGAACTGCAGTTCTTTTTATTTATTTATTTATTATTATTATGCTTTAAGTTTTAGGGTACATGTGCACAATGTGCAGGTTAGTTACATATGTATACATGTGCCATGCTGGTGCGCTGCACCCACTAACTCGTCATCTAGCATTAGGTATATCTCCCAATGCTATCCCTCCCCCCTCCCCCCACCCCACCCCACAACATGCTGCTATAAAGACACATGCACACGTATGTTTATTGCGGCACTATTTACAATAACAGAGACTTGGAACCAACCCAAATGTCCAACAATGATAGACTGGATTAAGAAAATCTGGCACATATACACCATGGAATACTATGCAGCCATAAAAAATGATGAGTTCATGTCCTTTGTAGGGACATGGATGAAATTGGAAATCATCATTCTCAGTAAACTATCGCAAGAACAAAAAACCAAACACCGCATATTCTCACTCATAGGTGGGAATTGAACAATGAGAACACATGGACACAGGAAGGGGAACATCACACTCTGAGAACTGCATTTCTTGCAGCCACAACTCCAACATGCCCATAGCACTCATGATCAGCCTTGAATATGTAAGACAGTGTTGCAGTGTCCTGGCCTTGCTGGTGGCAGCTGTGGGCATGGTCCTCTCTAAACTGAATCTTTTGTTCCACATTATGGTCATGTTATTCCAGAACCTAGATCCTTTTTTTTTTTTTTGAGAGGGAGTCTCGTTCTGTCTCCCAGGCTGGCGGCAGTAGCGTGATCTTGGCTCACTGCAACCTCCACTTCCCGGTTTCAAGCAATTCTCATGTCTCAGCCTCTCAAGTAACTGGGACTACAGCTGCACGCCACCACGCCTAGATAATTTTTGTATTTTTAGTAGAGATAGGGTTTCACCATATTGGTCAGGCTGGTCCCGAACTCCTAACCTCAGGTGATCCACCCACCTCAGCTTCCCAAAGTGCTGGGATTACAGGCATGAGTAACTGCACCCAGCCAGATCCGTTTTTAAAACTATCTTCCTTAGTGCTTCTTTTTTATTGGATTCAAATGCCAGTAGCTAGAAGCTACTAATTTATTGAGGCTTTACCCTGATACTGTTTACAATGCATCTTTTCAGGCATATATCATATTTGTGGATCAGACATTGACAATTACAAGGCACTGAAATGATTATATTCAATTGCCACAATTGAAGCCCTTGAAATAGGATACCTGAGATAATGCATTCCACATTCGTGTCTCATTTGATGATCAATGTATTAATCAGAATCAGAGATGATAGCATATTATATACTTGTCAAAATAAACTTATTAGAAATATATTAGTTCTAACTAAAATCTTGCATTGATTTATCATTTGTTTTATTAATAGTAAGCATTACACCTGCTCTCAAATCTTCTAATTAAAAGAAATCTGTTTCCTAGACAGATTGAAGTTAAATGGTTAGCATAATTCCTGTGTGTGTGTGGAGAGAAAAGATAGTAGCTCACTGGCATACTCCATTGGCATGCCTTACTTTCAGGAAAACAGAGAAGAACAGCTACAGGAAGCAATTGATATCCCTACACAGGTTGGGGTTGATATGCAAATTTATAAACACAATGTTTCCATTCTGGGTAAGCTATACAGAATCACACCAGCAGGGGTTTGATACTGTATTTTCTTCTGTTTTAGCTGTGTTGTCATTTCAGAAGCTGTGAAACTAAGAATCTCTAAAAGATGTGTTAAGAGATTCAAAACCCCAGCAGAGAACTATGTAACAATAAGCAATCATACAAAAAGTAAACAATAAAACATTCAACAATACAAGGAGGGTTTTACAAAATGGATTTACAAATTTGGGGTAGTATCAGTTTAATATGACTTTTGTTACTCCTTATTGTTAACATAGTGCTTAAGGAACTTTTAAAGGTAGTGTACAAATTGGATTAGTCCAGAGCTAGTTAGGGAATAGTTTATTATTATTATTATTATTATTTTTTATTTTTTATTTTTGAGACAGTTTTGCTCTTGTCACCCAGGCTGGAGTGCAGTGGTGCAATCTCAGCTCACTGTAACCTCTGCCTCCCGGGTTCAAGAGATTATCCTGCCTCAGCCTCCCAAGTCGTTGGGATTACAGGTGCCTGCCACCATGGCCAGCTAATTTTTTGTATTTTTAGTAGAGATGGGGTTTCACCGTGTTGGCCACGTTGCTCTCAAACTCCTGACCTCTGGTGATCTGCCCGCCTTGGCCTCCCAAAGTGTTAGGATTATAGGCGTGAGCCACCGCTCCTGGCCGGGAATAGTTTTTGTCTTTAATTAAGCTCTGTTTTACTTCTATATAGGCATAACTCAGAGATATCACAGGTTTGGTTCCAGACCACCACAATAAAGCAAATATCATAGTAAAACAAGTCACACATTTGTTTTTTGGTTTCTAAATGCACATAAAGGTTACACTATACCATATATACTCATATTAAGTTTACACTATACCGTATATAGTCTATTACACTATGCCATACATACTCTATAAGTTTACACTATACCGTATATACTCTATTAAGTTTATACTATACCATATATACTCTATTAAGTGTGCAATAGCATTATGGCTTAAAAAACTTGCATAATTTAAAAATACTTTGTTGCTAAAAATTGCCAGCAATCATCTGAGACTTCAGTGAGTCATAATCTTTCTGCTGGTGGAGAGTCTTGTCTGGATGTGGATGGCTGCTGACTGGTTAGGTTGGTGGTTGCTGAAGGTTGAGGTGGCTGTGGCAATTTGTTAAGGCAACACTGAAGGTTGCCACATTGGTTGACACTTCCTTTCACGAACGATTTCTCTGTAGCATTCAATGCTGTCTGATAGCATTTTACTCACATAGAACTTCTTTCAAAATTGGTGTCAATCCTCTCAAACCCCGGCACTGCTTAATCAACTAGGTTTATTTAATATTTTAAATTCCTCTTTGTCATTCAACATTGTTCATAGCACCTTCATCAGGAAAAGATTCCATCTCCAGAGACTGCTTTCTTTGTTCATCCATAAGAAGCAACTTCTTATGCGTTCAAGTTTTATTGTGAGATTACAGCAATTGTCACATCTTCAGACTCCACTTCTTTTTTTTTTTTTTGAAACGGAGTCTCGCTCTGTCGCCCAGGCTGGAGTACAGTGGCACCATTTCGGCTCACTGCAAGCTCCGCCTCCTGGGTTCATGCCCTTCTCCTGCCTCAGCCTCCACGCCCCCGCCACCACGCCTGGCTAATTTTTTTTTTTTGTATTTTTTGTAGAGATGGGGTATCACCGTGTTAGCCAGGATGGTCTCGATCTCCCGACCTTGTCATCCGCCCGCCTTGGTCTCCCAAAGTGCTGGGATTACAGGCGTGAGCTACCGCGCCCAGCCCAGACTCCACTTCTAACTCTAGTTCTCTTGTTATTTTTACCACATCTGTGATTCTTTCCTCCCCTGAAGCCTAGAACCCCTCAAAGTCACCCATTAGGTTTGGAATCAACTTCTTCCAAACTCCTGTTAATGGTGATATTTGACTTCCTTCCATTAATCATGATTCTTTTTTTTTTTTTTTTTTTTTTTTTTTTAGAGACAGGGTCTCACTCTGTTGCCCAGGTTGGAATGCAGTTGCATGATTATGGCTCACTGCAGCCAGCCTTGAAATCCCGGGCTCAGTCGATCCTCCCACCTCAGCCTTCCAAGTCACTGGGACTACAGGCACATGCCACCATACCCAGTTAGTTTTTTTTTCTTTTTTTTTTTTTTTTTTTTTTATTTTTTTTTTATTTTTTTTTTTTTTTATTATACTCTCAGTTTTAGGGTACATGTGCACATTGTGCAGGTTAGTTACATATGTATACATGTGCCATGCTGGTGCGCTGCACCCACTAATGTGTCATCTAGCATTAGGTATATCTCCCAATGCTATCCCTCCCCCCTCCCCCGACCCCACCACAGTCCCCAGAGTGTGATATTCCCCTTCCTGTGTCCATGTGATCTCATTGTTCAATTCCCACCTATGAGTGAGAATATGCGGTGTTTGGTTTTTTGTTCTTGCGATAGTTTACTGAGAATGATGGTTTCCAATTTCATCCATGTCCCTACAAAGGATATGAACTCATCATTTTTTATGGCTGCATAGTATTCCATGGTGTATATGTGCCACATTTTCTTAATCCAGACTATCATTGTTGGACATTTGGGTTGGTTCCAAGTCTTTGCTATTGTGAATAGTGCCGCAATAAACATACGTGTGCATGTGTCTTTATAGCAGCATGATTTATAGTCCTTTGGGTATATACCCAGTAATGGGATGGCTGGGTCAAATGGTATTTCTAGTTCTAGATCCCTGAGGAATCGCCACACTGACTTCCACAATGGTTGAACTAGTTTACAGTCCCACCAACAGTGTAAAAGTGTTCCTATTTCTCCACATCCTCTCCAGCACCTGTTGTTTCCTGACTTTTTAATGATTGCCATTCTAACTGGTGTGAGATGATATCTCATAGTGGTTTTGATTTGCATTTCTCTGATGGCCAGTGATGATGAGCATTTTTTCATGTGTTTTTTGGCTGCATAAATGTCTTCTTTTGAGAAGTGTCTGTTCATGTCCTTCGCCCACTTTTTGATGGGGTTGTTTGTTTTTTTCTTGTAAATTTGTTTGAGTTCATTGTAGATTCTGGATATTAGCCCTTTGTCAGATGAGTAGGTTGCAAAAATTTTCTCCCATGTTGTAGGTTGCCTGTTCACTCTGATGGTAGTTTCTTTTGCTGTGCAGAAGCTCTTTAGTTTAATTAGATCCCATTTGTCAATTTTGGTTTTTGTTGCCATTGCTTTTGGTGTTTTGGACATGAAGTCCTTGCCCACGCCTATGTCCTGAATGGTAATGCCTAGGTTTTCTTCTAGGGTTTTTATGGTTTTAGGTCTAACGTTTAAATCTTTAATCCATCTTGAATTGATTTTTGTATAAGGTGTAAGGAAGGGATCCAGTTTCAGCTTTCTACATATGGCTAGCCAGTTTTCCCAGCACCATTTATTAAATAGGGAATCCTTTCCCCATTGCTTGTTTTTCTCAGGTTTGTCAAAGATCAGATAGTTGTAGATATGCGGCATTATTTCTGAGGGCTCTGTTCTGTTCCATTGATCTATATCTCTGTTTTGGTACCAGTACCATGCTGTTTTGGTTACTGTAGCCTTGTAGTATAGTTTGAAGTCAGGTAGTGTGATGCCTCCAGCTTTGTTCTTTTGGTTTAGGATTGACTTGGCAATGCGGGCTCTTTTTTGGTTCCATATGAACTTTAAAGTAGTTTTTTCCAATTCTGTGAAGAAAGTCATTGGTAGCTTGATGGGGATGGCATTGAATCTGTAAATTACCTTGGGCAGTATGGCCATTTTCACGATATTGATTCTTCCTACCCATGAGCATGGAATGTTCTTCCATTTGTTTGTGTCCTCTTTTATTTCCTTGAGCAGTGGTTTGTAGTTCTCCTTGAAGAGGTCCTTCACATCCCTTGTAAGTTGGATTCCTAAGTATTTTATTCTCTTTGAAGCAATTGTGAATGGGAGTTCACCCATGATTTGGCTCTCTGTTTGTCTGTTGTTGGTGTATAAGAATGCTTGTGATTTTTGTACATTGATTTTGTATCCTGAGACTTTGCTGAAGTTGCTTATCAGCTTAAGGAGATTTTGGGCTGAGATGATGGGGTTTTCTAGATAAACAATCATGTCGTCTGCAAACAGGGACAATTTGACTTCCTCTTTTCCTAATTGAATACCCTTTATTTCCTTCTCCTGCCTGATTGCCCTGGCCAGAACTTCCAACACTATGTTGAATAGGAGCGGTGAGAGAGGGCATCCCTGTCTTGTGCCAGTTTTCAAAGGGAATGCTTCCAGTTTTTGCCCATTCAGTATGATATTGGCTGTGGGTTTGTCATAGATAGCTCTTATTATTTTGAAATACGTCCCATCAATACCTAATTTATTGAGAGTTTTTAGCATGAAGGGTTGTTGAATTTTGTCAAAGGCTTTTTCTGCATCTATTGAGATAATCATGTGGTTTTTGTCTTTGGCTCTGTTTATATGCTGGATTACATTTATTGATTTGCGTATATTGAACCAGCCTTGCATCCCAGGGATGAAGCCCACTTGATCATGGTGGATAAGCTTTTTGATGTGCTGCTGGATTCGGTTTGCCAGTATTTTATTGAGGATTTTTGCATCAATGTTCATCAAGGATATTGGTCTAAAATTCTCTTTTTTGGTTGTGTCTCTGCCCGGCTTTGGTATCAGAATGATGCTGGCCTCATAAAATGAGTTAGGGAGGATTCCCTCTTTTTCTATTGATTGGAATAGTTTCAGAAGGAATGGTACCAGTTCCTCCTTGTACCTCTGGTAGAATTCGGCTGTGAATCCATCTGGTCCTGGACTCTTTTTGGTTGGTAAACTATTGATTATTGCCACAATTTCAGAGCCTGTTATTGGTCTAGTCAGAGATTCAGCTTCTTCCTGGTTTAGTCTTGGGAGAGTGTATGTGTTGAGGAATGTATCCATTTCTTCTAGATTTTCTAGTTTATTTGCGTAGAGGTGTTTGTAGTATTCTCTGATGGTAGTTTGTATTTCTGTGGGATCGGTGGTGATATCCCCTTTATCATTTTTTATTGTGTCTATTTGATTCTTCTCTCTTTTTTTCTTTATTAGTCTTGCTAGCGGTCTATCAATTTTGTTGATCCTTTCAAAAAACCAGCTCCTGGATTCATTGATTTTTTGAAGGGTTTTTTGTGTCTCTATTTCCTTCAGTTCTGCTCTGATTTTAGTTATTTCTTGCCTTCTGCTAGCTTTTGAATGTGTTTGCTCTTGCTTTTCTAGTTCTTTTAATTGTGATGTTAGGGTGTCAATTTTGGATCTTTCCTGCTTTCTCTTGTAGGCATTTAGTGCTATAAATTTCCCTCTACACACTGCTTTGAATGCGTCCCAGAGATTCTGGTATGTGGTGTCTTTGTTCTCGTTGGTTTCAAAGAACATCTTTATTTCTGCCTTCATTTCGTTATGTACCCAGTAGTCATTCAGGAGCAGGTTGTTCAGTTTCCATGTAGTTGAGCGGCTTTGAGTGAGATTCTTAATCCTGAGTTCTAGTTTGATTGCACTGTGGTCTGAGAGATAGTTTGTTATAATTTCTGTTCTTTTACATTTGCTGAGGAGAGCTTTACTTCCAACTATGTGGTCAATTTTGGAATAGGTGTGGTGTGGTGCTGAAAAAAATGTATATTCTGTTGATTTGGGGTGGAGAGTTCTGTAGATGTCTATTAGGTCTGCTTGGTGCAGAGCTGAGTTCAATTCCTGGGTATCCTTGTTGACTTTCTGTCTCGTTGATCTGTCTAATGTTGACAGTGGGGTGTTAAAGTCTCCCATTATTAATGTGTGGGAGTCTAAGTCTCTTTGTAGGTCACTCAGGACTTGCTTTATGAATCTGGGTGCTCCTGTATTGGGTGCATAAATATTTAGGATAGTTAGCTCCTCTTGTTGAATTGATCCCTTTACCATTATGTAATGGCCTTCTTTGTCTCTTTTGATCTTTGTTGGTTTGAAGTCTGTTTTATCAGAGACTAGGATTGCAACCCCTGCCTTTTTTTGTTTTCCATTTGCTTGGTAGATCTTCCTCCATCCTTTTATTTTGAGCCTATGTGTGTCTCTGCACGTGAGATGGGTTTCCTGAATACAGCACACTGATGGGTCTTGACTCTTTATCCAACTTGCCAGTCTGTGTCTTTTAATTGCAGAATTTAGTCCATTTATATTTAAAGTTAATATTGTTATGTGTGAATTTGATCCTGTCATTATGATGTTAGCTGGTGATTTTGCTCATTAGTTGATGCAGTTTCTTCCTAGTCTCGATGGTCTTTACATTTTGGCATGATTTTGCAGCGGCTGGTACCAGTTGTTCCTTTCCATGTTTAGTGCTTCCTTCAGGAGCTCTTTTAGGGCAGGCCTGGTGGTGACAAAATCTCTCAGCATTTGCTTGTCTATAAAGTATTTTATTTCTCCTTCACTTATGAAGCTTAGTTTGGCTGGATATGAAATTCTGGGTTGAAAATTCTTTTCTTTAAGAATGTTGAATATTGGCCCCCACTCTCTTCTGGCTTGTAGGGTTTCTGCCGAGAGATCCGCTGTTAGTCTGATGGGCTTTCCTTTGAGGGTAACCCGACCTTTCTCTCTGGCTGCCCTTAACATTTTTTCCTTCATTTCAACTTTGGTGAATCTGACAATTATGTGTCTTGGAGTTGCTCTTCTCGAGGAGTATCTTTGTGGCGTTCTCTGTATTTCCTGAATCTGAACGTTGGCCTGCCTTGCTAGATTGGGGAAGTTCTCCTGGATAATATCCTGCAGAGTGTTTTCCAACTTGGTTCCATTCTCCACATCACTTTCAGGTACACCAATCAGACGTAGATTTGGTCTTTTCACATAGTCCTATATTTCTTGGAGGCTTTGCTCATTTCTTTTTATTCTTTTTTCTCTAAACTTCCCTTCTCGCTTCATTTCATTCATTTCATCTTCCATTGCTGATACCCTTTCTTCCAGTTGATCGCATCGGCTCCTGAGGCTTCTGCATTCTTCACGTAGTTCTCGAGCCTTGGTTTTCAGCTCCATCAGCTCCTTTAAGCACTTCTCTGTATTGGTTATTCTAGTTATACATTCTTCTAAATTTTTTTCAAAGTTTTCAACTTCTTTGCCTTTGGTTTGAATGTCCTCCCGTAGCTCAGAGTAATTTGATCGTCTGAAGCCTTCTTCTCTCAGCTCGTCAAAATCATTCTCCATCCAGCTTTGTTCTGTTGCTAGTGAGGAACTGCGTTCCTTTGGAGGAGGAGAGGTGCTCTGCGTTTTAGAGTTTCCAGTTTTTCTGTTCTGTTTTTTCCCCATCTTTGTGGTTTTATCTACTTTTGGTCTTTGATGATGGTGATGTACAGATGGGTTTTCGGTGTAGATGTCCTTTCTGGTTGTTAGTTTTCCTTCTAACAGACAGGACCCTCAGCTGCAGGTCTGTTGGAATACCCTGCCGTGTGAGGTGTCAGTGTGCCCCTGCTGGGGGGTGCCTCCCAGTTAGGCTGCTCGGGGGTCAGGGGTCAGGGACCCACTTGAGGAGGCAGTCTGCCCGTTCTCAGATCTCCAGCTGCGTGCTGGGAGAACCACTGCTCTCTTCAAAGCTGTCAGACAGGGACACTTAAGTCTGCAGAGGTTACTGCTGTCTTTTTGTTTGTCTGTGCCCTGCCCCCAGAGGTGGAGCCTACAGAGGCAGGCAGGCCTCCTTGAGCTGTGGTGGGCTCCACCCAGTTCGAGCTTCCCGGCTGCTTTGTTTACCTAAGCAAGCCTGGGCAATGGCGGGCGCCCCTCCCCCAGCCTCGTTGCCGCCTTGCAGTTTGATCTCAGACTGCTGTGCTAGCAATCAGCGAGATTCCGTGGGCGTAGGACCCTCTGAGCCAGGTGTGGGATATAGTCTCGTGGTGCGCCGTTTCTTAAGCCGGTCTGAAAAGCGCAATATTCGGGTGGGAGTGACCCGATTTTCCAGGTACGTCCGTCACCCCTTTCTTTGACTCGGAAAGGGAACTCCCTGACCCCTTGCGCTTCCCAGGTGAGGCAATGCCTCGCCCTGCTTCGGCTTGCGCACGGTGCGCACACACACTGACCTGCGCCCACTGTCTGGCACTCCCTATTGAGATGAACCCGGTACCTCAGATGGAAATGCAGAAATCACCCGTCTTCTGCGTCGCTCACGCTGGGAGCTGTAGACCGGAGCTGTTCCTATTCGGCCATCTTGGCTCCAGTTAGTTTTTTTTTCTCCTGGAGACAGGGTTTTGCCATGTTGCTCAGGCTGGTTTTAGTCTCAACTCCTGGGCTCAAGTTATCCTCCACCACAGCCTCCCAAAGTGCTGGGATTACAGGGGTGAGCCACTGTGCCCGGCCATGGTTGTTCTTAATGGCATCTAGAATGGTGATCCCTTTCCAGAAGGTTTTCCATGTAGTTTGCCTAGATCCATCAGGGGAATCACTGTCTATGGCTTTACAAGATGTATTTCTTACATAATAAGATTTGAAAGTCGAAATGACGCCTTGATACATGGGCTACAGGATGAATGCTGTATTAGCAGGCATGGAAACAATGTTCATCTCCTGTGCATCTCCCTCAGAGCTCTTGGGTAACCAGGTGCATTGTCAGTGAGTAGTAATATTTGAAAGGCTTTTTTTTTCCCAAATGAAAGATCTCAACAGTGGGCTTAAAATATTCAGTAAACCTCCCAGCACTTTGGGAGGCTGAAGTGGGCAGATCACGAGGTCAGGAGATCGAGACCATCCTGGCTAACACAGTGAAACCCCATCTCTACTAAAAATACAAAAAATTAGCCAGGTGTGGTGGCGGGCGCCTGTAGTCCCAGCTACTCGGGAGGCTGAGGCAGGAGAATGGCATGAACCCAGGAGGCGGAGCTTGCAGTGAGTCGAGATTGCGTCACTGCACTCCATCCTGGGCGACAGAGTGAGACTCTGTCTCAAAAAAATAAAAATAAAAATACAAATAAAAAATTAAAAATTAAATAAAATAATTAAATAAAATAACTTAAAAAATAAATAAATTAAAAATTAAAAATTCAATAAACCATGTTGTAAACAGATGTGCTGTCATCCAGGTTTTGTTGTTTTATTTATGAAGCAGAAGTAGAGTAGATTTAGCATAATTCTTAAGGGCCCTAGGATTTTTGGAATGGTAAATGAGCACTAGTTTCAACTTAATGACACCAGCTGCATTAGTCCCTAACAGAGAGTCAACCTGTCCTTTGAAGCTTTGAAACCAGGTACTGACTTCTTCTATCTAGCTATGAATGTCCTACATGGCATCCTCTTCCAATATAGGGCTGTTTCATGTACAATGAAAATCGGCTGTTCAGTGTAGCCACCTTCATCAATGATCTTAGCTAGATCTTCTGGATAACTTGCTGCAGATTCTATATCAGCACTTGCTGCTTCACCTTATCCTTTGATGTTCTAGAGATGGCTTCTTTCCTTAAACGTCATGAACCAACCTCAGATGGCTTCTTTCCTTAAACGTCATGAACCAACCTCTGCTAGCTTCAGGCTTTTCTTGTGCAACTTCCTCATCTCTCTCAGCCTTCATAGAATTAATGAGAGTTAGAGTCTTGCTCTGAATTAAGCTTTGACTTATGGGAATGTTGTGAGTGTTGTGGTTGGTTTGATCTTCTATCCAGACCACTTAAACTTTCTACATAGTAGCCATAAAACTGTTCTGTGTTCTTATCATTTGTGTGTTCACTGGAGTAGCACTTTTTAATATTATTTTTGAATTACTTTTCCTTTGCATTCACAACTTGGTTAATTGTTTGGTACTAAAGGCCTAGCTTTTAGCCCATCTTGGCTTTATATATGCCTTCCTCACTATGCCTAATCATTTCTAGTTTTTGATTTAAAGTGAAAGATGTGCAACTCTTACTTAATCACTTAGAGGCCATTGCAGGGTTTTTAATTGCCTAATTTTAATATTGTTGTGTCTCAGGAAATAGGGAGGCCCAAGGGAAGGAGAGACATGGCCAAATGGCTGGTTGGTGGAGCATTCAGAACACACAAAACCACACAACATTTGTGTATTAAATTTGCCATTTTATATGGATGCAATTTGTGCCACTCCCCAAAATTACAGTAGTAACATCAAAGATCACTGATCACAGATCACCATAACAGATATTACAATAATGTGAAAGTTTGAAATATTGTAAGAATTACCAAAATGTGACACAAAGACACAAACTGAGCACATGCTGTTGGAAAAATGCCAAGAGGCTTGCTCAAAGTGGGGTTGCCACAAACCTTCAGTTTGTAAAAAGAAAATACAATATCTGCTGGGTGCGGTGGCTTGTACCTGTAGTTTCACCTACTCTGGAGGCTGAGGTGTGAGGATTGCTTGAGCCCCGGAGTTTGGGGCTGCACTGAGCTGTGATCACACCACTACACTCCAGCCTGGACGTCTGAGTGAGACCCTGTCTCTAAAAAAAACACCAAAACAATAACAACAAAACTCCCGATATCTGTGAAGCACAATAAAGTAAGGTATACCCGTATGTCCCAGAGGTTCTTGTATACACATTGCAATGAATTTTGGGGGGATTAAGCCTACTTCTCAGCATCCCTCATTAAAATTAAAGTACAGAAAATCTATATGTAGCTCTACTTTTTAGCAAATCTCTGAATTGGTTCTTAGAATAGTCACAGGAAAATCAGAAGTGAGTAAACTTGGAGATTCTAGGCCTTCATTTCAGCCAGATAGAAAGAAGCCTATCAGATCTTTTCTCTTTTCCTGGTGGGAATCCATCCTTCCCATATAGCTTCACTACGTGTCCCCAGGAGTGGCCAAACAGCCTCCCTGTCTTCAAGATCAGTCCCACTTTAGAAAGGAAGGACTGCATTGATTTATATATAACAACTCTAAAGGCTATTGATCTCACTCTGATCTGGAACTCAGTTATGGCAATACATTCCTAGATAGCTTCCAGGACCCAAGTTTCTATTCTACTAATAATTCCTCCTACTGTAAGTTGTAAAGAGGTAGGTTCCAGTTTCTCTGTGATCTTGAAGTAGAACACCAACATAAAGAAAGGCAGGAATAAAACACAGCAGCAGAAAGAACACAGTAGTTCACCTGGGCTTTTCCTGGGCCATTATTCATGGCCGTCTTTGTATCCAGCATGATTTCAAGCCCAGGGGATGAATCCTGTTTCAGGTCCTGATTTCCAGTTGGCTTCCTCGTTTTGTAGTTCATCTAACCTGATAATCTAATGAAAAACAAAGCAAGTAGCAGAATCTGGCTTTCTGTCTAGTGCTCATTCTATTAAATTACATTGCATGGCCATCTGAACAAAAACCCATATGGGACTTCACTTTATTCTTCACTTATCTGCCGTTTATTTTTATTTTTCTGACTCTGTTGAACCTGATGATGCTGCAAAATGAAGTTTTGTTTACTTACTTTAGAAAAGAAGTTGTGATAATTGGGTGGTTACTGACAGTCTGTTCACTAGAGGAGACACTTCAGGCAGGAATGATTTATTTGAAGAGATTGATATCAGTTTAGGAAACAGTACCCTGAACCTCCCGATCATGATCCTAAATTGGCCATTACAGTATTGGGATTCACCAAATTACAGTTTTTACAAAGGCATTAAATAGGGAGTGGCAGGGGATGAGAGGAATCTTGCTTGGTGAGCCTTTACTCTCATTTAGAAAGGAAAATCTTTGTTAACTAGTACAATTCCTTTGGGTTTGTGTATGCAGAAAGCCCCAGCGAATATTCTCTTAAGCTCATTGTCCTAACCAGGATCCTATGGCAACATGATTGGTCACATGACCTACTTTAATTCTAAAGGAGGCTAGAAAGCCAGTATACTGATTTTTGACTTTGTAGTGAGAGTCAAGCAAGAGAAAGGAGGGTAAGAAATGGTTGTCATGTCTGCCACAAATAATCTTCTCATTTCTTTGTTCATTCACCTTCCTAGCTCTTAATCATTAGTTCTTCATATTTATTCCCTTATGCTGTTGGTTATATTTTTCTCTGTGTACATTTAGTTCCTTAGTATTTCTCCATTACTGATGGGATAAAGTTCAAAATCCAGATGAAAGTATCTGAGATCCTTTATGCTTGGCTTCTGCCCTTGTTTCCAGCCACCTCTATTTCCATTCCCTTAAAGACACTGGGATGCTACTATGAGGATACTGGTTTTTTGTTTGTTTGTTTTGTTTTGTTGTGTTTTTTGGCAAAGTCTTGCTCTGTCACCCAGGCTGGAGTGCAGTGGCATGATCTCAGCTCACTGCAACCTCCGCCTCCTGGGTTCAGTCAATTCTCATGCCTCAGCCTCCCGAGTGAGTAGTTGTGACTACAGCACTGGCTATCATCCCTGGCTAATTTTCTCTGTTGTTTTTCAAAAGTGGCAGAGTGTCTCAGGCCCATGTTGCCACGCAATGTAGTTAGCATTTAGTCATTAATCAAGATAATCTCAATCAATATATTAATAATATATTGATAATATATCCCAAGGCCATCCCACCGTTAGCACTGATTATGCCTCATCATAATGGTTTTCTTACGTGGTTGTCTTTTCCTACATTTGAAGATTTCTTGTCTAGTGGGGCCAACAGACATGGGAACAGTGCCTGGCCCAGGGCAAGCATTCAATATATGTGCAGTGGAGACTATGAGAGCCCCAAGGGAAAAAACCATCTTTTATTATTTTCTTGTTTTCCCAATAACAGCCCAACAGAGTTAATAACCCTAGTCAATTTGTTAAAAAAAATTAATTTGATTCATTGATGAACCAAATGAGTGAAAGACATTTTTTAAACCTTATAACATCAATGGAGATTTATACTGTTGTTAGCCTATCGCTTTGGTCATTATAGAAGATCCTGGCTGCCCAATGTACCATAGTGGCCATAGCATCTCTTTTCCTATTCTCTTCTCCCAAGAATGTGTCTTTAAGTGTGTTTGTGTGACTTCCTTATCTTTATTTTTCTTTCTTTACTTCTAACTTCCCCACCATCAATAATGGTAATTTCATATTCCTCATGGCTTGTCTGCTCATGTCCGATTCACACTATCATCAGGTAGAAGACACTTCTCTGCCTCAGCGGAGTAGGAATAGTCTTTGTATCCAAAAGCTAGGATAATCTAAATATTCTAGCACAAAAACCATTTAATATTCACAGCACTGACCTCTGGCAAACGGATTTTGTGCGCAGTGCCATGAAGCTTGATTAATCGAGGAATGAATCATTTTTTCCCCACAGAAAATAATCTGAAGACTATTTAGTTTTCTTATAGATTTTTCATTCTATTAAAAATGAAAATACTGAGTTCACATTGCTTAATACATACTAATATAGATCTCAGAAAATTCTCTGGTTTGTTTTATACCTTCCCACAGGGTGTGAGTATCCCCAGGGTATCTATAGGAGTTGTCAGGGAGACAGACTATCATTAGAACAGTAGTGAGTCAGCCGGCTTGCTTCATAATAGGTAAAAGAATATCTCCAGTATAAGAGGACCACCTAAATAATGGAAGAGATAAAAGTAAAATGGTGTATCTTTAGATACATATTTATTTTTTATATGCATACATGTTTATGTCAGAGCTACTGATGACTCTTAGAAGTACAAGCCCATGAAATTTGGATTTCTTCGGCAGGACCCTATTGGACAGTAACAACAACAGAAAATCTCTTCTGCCTGTTTAATTTACTTGGAGGCATTTGCAGAGGAAAATTGGGAAACGGGTGAAGTTTTACTATTATTCTTTCAGTAAACACTTATTTGGAGGTGACTGGGAAAAACCACATCCTTTGGGAGTTAGTCAGATGTGGGATGGAAGCCATATACTGGTTGTGTGACTTTGGGGAAGCTGCTTAGTCATTTTAAACTTTGGTGTCTACATCTGTAAAAGACAGGTAATGTTCCTTATTGCAAGGGTTGCATGGATAGGAGTACTCAGTGGTAAGTACTTAATAAATGGTGGCCATTACCATTACTGTTATTACTACTGTTACTACCTCGCACATGCCTGGGGAACTGCGTAAGACTGGGCACAATCCTTGCTCACAAGGAGCTTTCACTTTACTTGGGGTGGAGGACCATAAACAACTAATTATATCATAGGACAGCATAATTTTAGGGGAATAAAAAGGGTATAAACAAAACATTATGGGATGAGAGAATGGGTAAATTGGGACTACATGGAGACAACAGAGAAAGCTTCACGAGGATGAGGAATCTGTGCTGAGCCTCAGAAATGAGCAGGATCTTCACGGAGAAAGGGGAAAGGGACTGATTTTGTTAACACCCAAACTGCTCTTCTCTTTAAGCCCATTTGCTTACAGTTGTTTCTACCTTATTCTTCCTCCTTTCTACAATTAGTAGCCTCCTCAGGTAAGAATAGGCTACTATTGTCTGTAGGGGAAGTATTCTCCGTTGTTATATTATGTGTAACTGCTGTGTGGAAGGCATATGGAAGCCTGTGTGGTCATAAGGAACTGTTGTGTGGTGGTCTGTGTGTAAAGGTCAGGGATCTACTGGATTTGAGTGGGTATCAGTCACCTTGGAAAGAGTGTCTGAGGCTGGACAGCCAAAACCCAGAGAGACAAATCCTGGTGGGCGGCAGGGTGTTTCTTTTGATCTGACCCATGAGCTTAGTCAGGTGTCAGAGAGGTGGTTCCCTTTGGAAGGTGTCAGCAGCTTCCCTACAGAGATAGATTGGTTATGGGGAGTTACTGGGGAACCTAAGCAACTTAACGGAGAGGCTGTGGGGGTCCTTTGGTGCCCTCAAGTGAGCAAGCCCTTGATGTGAGCCAGGTGTGACCTTACTCTGTGAGGTCATGCACACCTGGGTTTGGATTCCAGCTCTGTCATTTACCAATGATTGATTCTGGGCAAGTTCCTAAATCTCTGAGTCTTGTACCACTTACAAAGCATGAATAATGAAACCTTCCCTATCTGATTGATGTGGGGACAAAATGAAATAGCTCCCAGACATATAAAGCCCCTAGATACAGAGTCATAGCATGTGACTTCCCTTTCTTTCTTTCCTTTTCTTGTTTTCTCTATTTCCCCTGCTCCTGTCAGCGTTGTATTTTAATACAGAATAAAGACCTGGGTGTTCCAGTCAGCATCTGCTATGTTAGAGGCACTAAGAAAAGAAGTTTTAGCCATACATGACTCAGAATATTAATGGAAGAGCATGGTATTCCTGAGGGTTAGCATGGGGGCTGCCACAGTAACCACAGGGAGAGAACCCAAAGGGGTAAAACTGGTGAGGAGGCTGGGTGTGATGGCTCATGCCTGTAATCCTAGCACTTTGGGAGGCCAGAGCGGGTGGATCACTTGAGATCAGGAGTTCGAAACCAGCCTGGCCAACATGGTGAAACCCTGTCTCTACTAAAAATGCAAAAAAATTAGCTGGGCGTGGTGACAGGAGACTGTAATCCCAGCTTCCTGGGAAGCTAAGGCAGGAGAATTGCTCAAACTCAGGAGGAAGAGGTTGCAGTGAGCCGAGATTGCACCACTGCACTCCAGCCTGGGAGACAGAGTGAGACTCTGTCTCAAAAGACAAAACAAAACAATACAAAAACAAAGCACAACCAAACAAAACAAAAAACTGGCAAGCAGTGGAACAGGAAAGAGTCGATGTCCCACGAAGCCAACCTTCCTCAGTAGTAGATTCTCCTTCCAGTGCTAAATTTTAACGGCTTTGAATTTTACTAAGAGAGGAGGTACCCCTTCTAAGGATATCCATACCTTAATGTAAAATTAAGTAAATGTATAGCTTCTTCTAGAGCCATTTTTGAAATGAAAAAATTTGCCTCACATGAAAGGAATTTTAAGAATTCTTAGGCAGTCAGGGAAGATTTTGTGGGGGAGGACAAGCCTGGAGGACAGGGAAATTTACTCAAGGTCACTGTACTCAGGAATTAAACCTTTACATAAGTGGTTTTATCGTAGTGGGGCAGAAGCCCAGAAATTCCAGTTTTTAACCTGTTCAGCCTCATTTGATGAGCACTGGTGAATTAATACACTACTGCATTTCTCTGGCTTGGCTAATTTGGGTGGTTTTTTTTGTTAGTTTTTTTTGTGTGTGTGGCAAAATCTCGCTCTGTTGCCTAGGCTGGAGTGCAATGGTGTGATCTTGGCTCACTGCA